>NC_000023.11:60041591-60211097 GCF_000001405.40 Homo sapiens | reverse complement strand
TTAGTTTTTACGTGAACATATACCCGTTTCGAACGAAGGCCACCCAGTGGTCCAAATATCCACTTGCAGATTCTACAGAAAGAGTGTTTCGAACCTGAACTCTCAAAGGCAGGTTCATCTCTGCGAGTTCAATGCATTCAACATGAAGAACTTTCTCAGCGTGTTTGTGTTTAGTTATGGGAAATTATTGCCGTTTCCAACGAAATCCTCAGAGAGGTCCAAATATCCACCTGCAGATTCTACCAAAAGTGTATTTGGAAACTGCTCCATCAAAAGGCATGTTCAGCTCTGTGAGTGAAACTCCATCATCACAAAGAATATTCTGAGAATGCTTCCGTTTGCCTTTTATATGAAGTTCCTTCCTATACTACCGTAGGCCTCAAAGCAGTCCAAATCTCCATTTGCAGATTCTACAAAAAGAGTGATTCCAATCTGCTCTATCAATAGGATTGTTCAACTCCATGAGTTGAAGGTCATCCTCACAAAGTCGTTTCTGAGAATGCTTCTATCTAGTTTTTATGTGAAGATATTTCCTTTTCCACCACAGGCCTCAAAGCCCTCCAAACGTCCACTTGCAGATTCTCGAAAAAGAGTGTTTCATAGCTGCTCTTTCAAAAGGAAAGTTCAACTCTGAGAGTTGAATACAAACATCACAAAGTAGTTTCCGAGAATGCTTCTGTTTAGTTCTTATGTGAAGATGATCCCGTTTCCAGTGAAATCTTCAAAGAGGTCCACATATCCCCTTGCAGATTCCAAAGAAAGAGGGTTTCAAAACTGCTCCATCAAAAGGATTGTTCAACTCTGTGAGTTGAATGCAGTCATCGCAGAAAACTTTCTGAGAATGCTTCTGTCTAGGTTTGATGTGAAGATATAGACGTTTCAAACGAAGGCTACAAAGTGGTCAAAATATACACTTGCAGATTCTACTACAAGGGTGTTGCAAACTTGCACTATCAAAGGAAGTTTGCACTCTCTGAGTTGAATGCAAACATCACAAAGATGTTTCTGAGAATGCCTCCGTTCAGTTATGGGAAGTTGATCCCGTTTCCAACGAAATCCTCAGAGAGGTCTAAATATCCCCTTGCAGATTCTACAAAAAGTGTGTTTGGAAACTGCTCCATCAAAACGAATGTTCAGCTCTCTGAGTTAAACTCAATCGTCACAAGGAATTTTGTGAGAGTGCTACTGTCTACGTTTCATGTGAAGTTCTTTCCTTTACTACCACAGGCCTCAAAGCGGTCCAAATCTCCACTTGCAGATTCTACAAAGGAGTGATTGCAAACTGCTCTATCAAAATGAATGTTCAACTCTGGGAGTTGAATGCATTCATCACAGAGCAGTTTCTGAGAATGCTTCTATGTGGTTCTTAGGAGTAGATATTTCCTTTTCCACCACAGTCCTCCAAGCCCGCTAAATATCCACTTGCACATTCTAGAAAAAGTGTGTTAAAGCTGCGCTATCAAAGGGAAAGTTCAACTGTGTGAGGTGAATGCAAACGTCCCAAAGAAGTTTCTGAGAATGCTTCCGTTTAGCTTTTAGGTGAAGATTATCCCGTTTCCAACGAAATCTTCAAAGAGGTCCAAATATCCCCTTGCGGATCCCACAGAAAGAGTGTTTCGAAACTGCTGTTTCAAAAGGAGTCTTCAACTCTGTGAATTGAATGCAATCATCACAAAGAAGTTTCTGAGAATGCTTCTCTCTCGTCTTTATGTGAAGATATTTCCTTTTCCACCACAGGCCTGAAAGCGCTCCAAATGTCCTCTTGCAGATTCTGCGAACAGAATGTTTCAAAACTGCTCTATGAAAAGCAATGTTAAACTCTGTGGCTCGAACACAAACATCACAAATCAGTTTCTGAGAATGCTTCAGTTTAGTTTTTCTGTGGAGATAATCCCATTTCCAAAGAAATCTTCAAAGAGGTCCACATATCCACTTACAGATTCTACAAAAAGACAGATTCAAAACTGCTCAATCAAAAGGAGGGTTCAACCCTGTGACTTGAATGCAATCATCACACAGAAGTTTCTCAGAATGCTTCTCTTTAGTTTTTAGGTGAACATATACCCGTTTCGAACGAAGGCCACCCAGTGGTCCAAATATCCACTTGCAGATTCTACAGAAAGAGTGTTTCGAACCTGAACTCTCAAAGGCAGGTTCATCTCTGCGAGTTCAATGCATTCATCATGAAGAACTTTCTCAGCGTGTTTGTGTTTAGTTATGGAAAATTATTCCCGTTTCCAACGAAATCCTCAGAGAGCTCCAAATATCCACCTGCAGATTCTACCAAAAGTGTATTTGGAAACTGCTCCATGAAAAGGCATGTTCAGCTCTGTGAGTGAAACTCCATCATCACAAAGAATATTCTGAGAATGCTTCCGTTTGCCTTTTATATGAAGTTCCTTCCTATACTACCGTAGGCCTCAAAGCAGTCCAAATCTCCATTTGCAGATTCTACAAAAAGAGTGATTCCAATCTGCTCTATCAATAGGATTGTTCAACTCCATGAGTTGAATGCCATCCTCACAAAGTCGTTTCTGAGAATGCTTCTATCTAGTTTTTATGTGAAGATATTTCCTTTTCCACCACAGGCCTCAAAGCCCTCCAAACGTCCACTTGCAGATTCTCGAAAAAGAGTGTTTCATAGCTGCTCTTTCAAAAGGAAAGTTCAACTCTGGGAGTTGAATACAAACATCAC
This sequence comes from Homo sapiens, assembly GCF_000001405.40. NCBI lineage: Eukaryota > Metazoa > Chordata > Mammalia > Primates > Hominidae > Homo > Homo sapiens. Next base: position 60,208,402 of record NC_000023.11, on the reverse strand, counting down.
AAAGTAGTTTCCGAGAATGCTTCTGTTTAGTTTTTATGTGAAGATGATCCCGTTTCCAGTGAAATCTTCAAAGAGGTCCACATATCCCCTTGCAGATTCCAAAGAAAGAGGGTTTCAAAACTGCTCCATCAGAAGGATTGTTCAACTCTGTGAGTTGAATGCAGTCATCACAGAAAACTTTCTGAGAATGCTTCTGTCTAGGTTTGATGTGAAGATATAGACGTTTCAAACGAAGGCTACAAAGTGGTCAAAATATACACTTGCAGATTCTACTACAAGGGTGTTGCAAACCTGAACTATCAAAGGAAGGTTCAACTCTGTGAATTGAATACAAACATCACAAAGAATGTTCTGAGTTTGCTTCCGTTCAGTTATGGGAAGTTGATCCCGTTTCCAACGAAATCCTCAGAGAGGTCCAAATATCCCCTCGCAGATTCTACAAAACGTGTGTTTGGAAACTGCTCCATCATAACGAATGTTCAGCTCCCTGAGTTAAACTCCATCGTCACAAAGAATTTTCTGAGAGTGCTACCGTCTGGTTTTTATATGAAGTTCTTTCCTTCACTACCACAGGCCTCAAAGCGGTCCAAATCTCCACTTGCAGATTCTACAAAAAGAGTGTTTGCAAACTGCTCTATCAAAAGGAATGTTCAACTCTGGGAGTTGAATGCAATCATCACAGAGCAGTTTCTGAGAATGCTTCTATGTCGTTTTTAGGAGAAGATATTTCCTTTTCCAACACAGTCCTCCAAGCCCGCTAAATAGCCACTTGCACATTGTAGAAAAAGTGTGTCAAAGCTGCGCTATCAAAGGGAAAGTTCAACTCTGTGAGGTGAATGCAAACATCCCAAAGAAGTTTCTGAGAATGCTTCCGTTTAGCTTTTAGGTGAAGATTATCCCGTTTCCAACGAAACCTTCAAAGAGGTCCAAATATCCCCTTGCGGATCCCACAGAAAGAGTGTTTCGAAACTGCTGTTTCAAAAGGAATCTTCAACTCTGTGAGTTGAATGCAATCATCACAAAGAAGTTTCTGACAATGCTTCTCTCTCGTCTTTCTGTGAAGATAAAGGAAAAGGCTTTCAGGCCTTTTCCACCACAGGCCTGAAAGCGCTCCAAATGTCCACTTGCAGATTCTGCCAAAAGAATATTTCAAAACTGCTCTATGAAAAGCAATGTTAAACTCTGCGGCTCGAACACAAACATCACAAAGCGGTTTCTGAGAATGCTTCAGTTTAGTTTTTCTGTGGAAATATTCCCGTTTCCAAAGAAATCTTCAAAGAGGTCCACGTATCCACTTACAGATTCTACAAAAAGACAGTTTCAAAACTGCTCCATCAAAAGGAGGGTTCAACCGTGTGACTTGAATGCAATCATCACTCAGAAGTTTCTGAGAATGCTTCTCTTTAGTTTTTACGTGAACATATACCCGTTTCGAACGAAGGCCACCCAGTGGTCCAAATATCCACTTGCAGATTATACAGAAAGAGTGTTTCGAACCTGAACTCTCAAAGGCAGGTTCATCTCTGCGAGTTAAATGCATTCATCATGAAGAACTTTCTCAGAGTGTTTGTGTTTAGTTATGGGAAATTATTCCCGTTTCCAACGAAATCCTCAGAGAGCTCCAAATATCCACCTGCAGATTCTACCAAAAGTGTATTTGGAAACTGCTCCATCAAAAGGCATGTTCAGCTCTGTGAGTGAAACTCCATCATCACAAAGAATATTCTGAGAATGCTTCCGTTTGCCTTTTATATGAAGTTCCTTCCTGTACTACCGTAGGCCTCAAAGCAGTCCAAATCTCCATTTGCAGATTCTACAAAAAGAGTGATTCCAATCTGCTCTATCAATAGGATTGTTCAACTCCATGAGTTGAATGCCATCCTCACAAAGCAGTTTCTGAGAATGCTTCTATCTGGTTTTTGTGTGAAGATATTTCCTTTTCCACCACAGGCCTCAAAGCCCTCCAAACGTCCACTTGCAGATTCTCGAAAAAGAGTGTTTCATAGCTGCTCTTTCAAAAGGAAAGTTCAACTCTGGGAGTTGAATACAAACATCACAAAGTAGTTTCCGAGAATGCTTCTGTTTAGTTTTTATGTGAAGATGATCCCGTTTCCAGTGAAATCTTCAAAGAGGTCCACATATCCCCTTGCAGATTCCAAAGAAAGAGGGTTTCAAAACTGCTCCATCAGAAGGATTGTTCAACTCTGTGAGTTGAATGCAGTCATCGCAGAAAACTTTCTGAGAATGCTTCTGTCTAGGTTTGATGTGAAGATATAGACGTTTCAAACGAAGGCTACAAAGTGGTCAAAATATACACTTGCAGATTCTACTACAAGGGTGTTGCAAACCTGAACTATCAAAGGAAGGTTCAACTCTGTGAGTTGAATACAAACATCACAAAGAATGTTCTGAGTTTGCTTCCGTTCAGTTATGGGAAGTTGATCCCGTTTCCAACGAAATCCTCAGAGAGGTCCAAATATCCCCTTGCAGATTCTACAAAACGTGTGTTTGGAAACTGCTCCATCATAACGAATGTTCAGCTCCCTGAGTTAAACTCCATCGTCACAAAGAATTTTCTGAAAGTGCTACCGTCTGGTTTTTATATGAAGTTCTTTCCTTCACTACCACAGGCCTCAAAGCGGTCCAAATCTCCACTTGCAGATTCTACAAAAAGAGTGTTTGCAAACTGCTCTATCAAAAGGGAATGTTCAACTCTGGGAGTTGAATGCAATCATCACAGAGCAGTTTCTGAGAATGCTTCTATGTCGTTTTTAGGAGAAGATATTTCCTTTTCCAACACAGTCCTCCAAGCCCGCTAAATAGCCACTTGCACATTGTAGAAAAAGTGTGTCAAAGCTGCGCTATCAAAGGGAAAGTTCAACTCTGTGAGGTGAATGCAAACATCCCAAAGAAGTTTCTGAGAATGCTTCCGTTTAGCTTTTAGGTGAAGATTATCCCGTTTCCAACGAAACCTTCAAAGAGGTCCAAATATCCCCTTGCGGATCCCACAGAAAGAGTGTTTCGAAACTGCTGTTTCAAAAGGAATCTTCAACTCTGTGAGTTGAATGCAATCATCAAAAAGAAGTTTCTGACAATGCTTCTCTCTCGTCTTTCTGTGAAGATAAAGGAAAAGGCTTTCAGGCCTTTTCCACCACAGGCCTGAAAGCGCTCCAAATGTCCACTTGCAGATTCTGCCAAAAGAATATTTCAAAACTGCTCTATGAAAAGCAATGTTAAACTCTGTGGCTCGAACACAAACATCACAAAGCAGTTTCTGAGAATGCTTCAGTTTAGTTTTTCTGTGGAAATATTCCCGTTTTCAAAGAAATCTTCAAAGAGGTCCACGTATCCACTTACAGATTCTACAAAAAGACAGTTTCAAAACTGCTCCATCAAAAGGAGGGTTCAACTGTGTGACTTGAATGCAATCATCACTCAGAAGTTTCTGAGAATGCTTCTTTTTAGTTTTTATGTGAACATATACCCGTTTCGAACGAAGGCCACCCAGTGGTCCAAATATCCACTTGCAGATTCTACAGAAAGAGTGTTTCGAACCTGAACTCTCAAAGGCAGGTTCATCTCTGCGAGTTAAATGCATTCATCATGAAGAACTTTCTCAGAGTGTTTGTGTTTAGTTATGGGAAATTATTCCCGTTTCCAACGAAATCCTCAGAGAGCTCCAAATATCCACCTGCAGATTCTACCAAAAGTGTATTTGGAAACTGCTCCATCAAAAGGCATGTTCAGCTCTGTGAGTGAAACTCCATCATCACAAAGGATATTCTGAGAATGCTTCCGTTTGCCTTTTATATGAAGTTCCTTCCTATACTACCGTAGGCCTCAAAGCAGTCCAAATCTCCATTTGCAGATTCTACAAAAAGAGTGATTCCAATCTGCTCTATCAATAGGATTGTTCAACTCCATGAGTTGAATTCCATCCTCACAATGTCGTTTGTGAGAATGCTTCTATCTAGTTTTTATGTGAAGATATTTCCTTTTCCACCACAGGCCTCAAAGCCCTCCAAACGTCCACTTGCAGATTCTCGAAAAAGAGTGTTTCATAGCTGCTCTTTCAAAAGGAAAGTTCAACTCTGGGAGTTGAATACAAACATCCCAAAGTAGTTTCCGAGAATGCTTATATTTAGTTTTTATGTGAAGATGATCCCGTTTCCAGTGAAATCTTCAAAGAGGTCCACATATCCCCTTGCAGATTCCAAAGAAAGAGGGTTTCAAAACTGCTCCATCAGAAGGATTGTTCAACTCTGTGAGTTGAATGCAGTCATCGCAGAAAACTTTCTAAGAATGCTTCTTTCTAGGTTTGATGTGAAGATATAGACGTTTCAAACGAAGGCTACAAAGTGGTCAAAATATACACTTGCAGATTCTACTACAAGGGTGTTGCAAACCTGAACTATCAAAGGAAGGTTCAACTCTGTGAGTTGAATACAAACATCACAAAGAATGTTCTGAGTTTGCTTCCGTTCAGTTATGGGAAGTTGATCCCGTTTCCAACGAAATCCTCAGAGAGGTCTAAATATCCCCTTGCAGATTCTACAAAACGTGTGTTTGGAAACTGCTCCATCATAACGAATGTTCAGCTCCCTGAGTTAAACTCCATCGTCACAAAGAATTTTCTGAGAGTGCTACCGTCTGGTTTTTATATGAAGTTCTTTCCTTCACTACCACAGGCCTCAAAGCGGTCCAAATCTCCACTTGCAGATTCTACAAAAAGAGTGTTTGCAAACTGCTCTATCAAAAGGAATGTTCAACTCTGGGAGTTGAATGCAATCATCACAGAGCAGTTTCTGAGAATGCTTCTATGTCGTTTTTAGGAGAAGATATTTCCTTTTCCAACACAGTCCTCCAAGCCCGCTAAATAGCCACTTGCACATTGTAGAAAAAGTGTGTCGAAGCTGCGCTATCAAAGGGAAAGTTCAACTCTGTGAGGTGAATGCAAACATCCCAAAGAAGTTTCTGAGAATGCTTCCGTTTAGCTTTTAGGTGAAGATAATCCCGTTTCCAACGAAACCTTCTAAGAGGTCCAAATATCCCCTTGCGGATCCCACAGAAAGAGTGTTTCGAAACTGCTGTTTCAAAAGGAATCTTCAACTCTGTGAGTTGAATGCAATCATCACAAAGAAGTTTCTGACAATGCTTCTCTCTCGTCTTTCTGTGAAGATAAAGGAAAAGGCTTTCAGGCCTTTTCCACCACAGGCCTGAAAGCGCTCCAAATGTCCACTTGCAGATTCTGCGAAAAGAATATTTCAAAACTGCTCTATGAAAAGCAATGTTAAACTCTGTGGCTTGAACACAAACATCACAAAGCGGTTTCTGAGAATGCTTCAGTTTAGTTTTTCTGTGGAAATATTCCCGTTTCCAAAGAAATCTTCAAAGAGGTCCACGTATCCACTTACAGATTCTACAAAAAGACAGTTTCAAAACTGCTCCATCAAAAGGAGGGTTCAACTGTGTGACTTGAATGCAATCATCACTCAGAAGTTTCTGAGAATGCTTCTCTTTAGTTTTTACTGTGAACATATACCCGTTTCGAACGAAGGCCACCCAGTGGTCCAAATATCCACTTGCAGATTCTACAGAAAGAGTGTTTCGAACCTGAACTCTCAAAGGCAGGTTCATCTCTGTTAGTTAAATGCATTCATCATGAAGAACTTTCTCAGAGTGTTTGTGTTTAGTTATGGGAAATTATTCCCGTTTCCAACGAAATCCTCAGAGAGCTCCAAATATCCACCTGCAGATTCTACCAAAAGTGTATTTGGAAACTGCTCCATCAAAAGGCATGTTCAGCTCTGTGAGTGAAACTCCATCATCACAAAGAATATTCTGAGAATGCTTCCGTTTGCCTTTTATATGAAGTTCCTTCCTGTACTACTGTAGGCCTCAAAGCAGTCCAAATCTCCATTTGCAGATTCTACAAAAAGAGTGATTCCAATCTGCTCTATCAATAGGATTGTTCAACTCCATGAGTTGAATGCCATCCTCACAAAGCAGTTTCTGAGAATGCTTCTATCTGGTTTTTGTGTGAAGATATTTCCTTTTCCACCACAGGCCTCAAAGCCCTCCAAACGTCCACTTGCAGATTCTCGAAAAAGAGTGTTTCATAGCTGCTCTTTCAAAAGGAAAGTTCAACTCTGGGAGTTGAATACAAACATCACAAAATAGTTTCCGAGAATGCTTCTGTTTAGTTTTTATGTGAAGATGATCCCGTTTCCAGTGAAAGCTTCAAAGAGGTCCACATATCCCCTTGCAGATTCCAAAGAAAGAGGGTTTCAAAACTGCTCCATCAGAAGGATTGTTCAACTCTGTGAGTTGAATGCAGTCATCGCAGAAAACTTTCTGAGAATGCTTCTGTCTAGGTTTGATGTGAAGATATAGACGTTTCAAACGAAGGCTACAAAGTGGTCAAAATATACACTTGCAGATTCTACTACAAGAGTGTTGCAAACCTGAACTATCAAAGGAAGGTTCAACTCTGTGAGTTGAATACAAACATCACAAAGAATGTTCTGAGTTTGCTTCCGTTCAGTTATGGGAAGTTGATCCCGTTTCCAACGAAATCCTCAGAGAGGTCCAAATATCCCCTCACAGATTCTACAAAACGTGTGTTTGGAAACTGCTCCATCATAACGAATGTTCAGCTCTCTGAGTTAAACTCCATCGTCACAAAGAATTTTCTGAGAGTGCTACCGTCTGGTTTTTATATGAAGTTTTTTCCTTCACTACCACAGGCCTCAAAGCGGTCCAAATCTCCACTTGCAGATTCTACAAAAAGAGTGTTTGCAAACTGCTCTATCAAAAGGAATGTTCAACTCTGGGAGTTGAATGCAATCATCACAGAGCAGTTTCTGAGAATGCTTCTATGTCGTTTTTAGGAGAAGATATTTCCTTTTCCAACACAGTCCTCCAAGCCCGCTAAATAGCCACTTGCACATTGTAGAAAAAGTGTGTCAAAGCTGCGCTATCAAAGGGAAATTTCAACTCTGTGAGGTGAATGCAAACATCCCAAAGAAGTTTCTGAGAATGCTTCCGTTTAGCTTTTAGGTGAAGATTATCCCGTTTCCAACGAAACCTTCAAAGAGGTCCAAATATCCCCTTGCGGATCCCACAGAAAGAGTGTTTCGAAACTGCTGTTTCAAAAGGAATCTTCAACTCTGTGAGTTGAATGCAATCATCACAAAGAAGTTTCTGACAATGCTTCTCTCTCGTCTTTCTGTGAAGATAAAGGAAAAGGCTTTCAGGCCTTTTCCACCACAGGCCTGAAAGCGCTCCAAATGTCCACTTGCAGATTCTGCGAAAAGAATATTTCAAAACTGCTCTATGAAAAGCAATGTTAAACTCTGTGGCTCGAACACAAACATCACAAAGCGGTTTCTGAGAATGCTTAAGTTTAGTTTTTCTGTGGAAATATTCCCGTTTCCAAAGAAATCTTCAAAGAGGTCCACGTATCCACTTACAGATTCTACAAAAAGACAGTTTCAAAACTGCTCCATCAAAAGGAGGGTTCAACTGTGTGACTTGAATGCAATCATCACTCAGAAGTTTCTGAGAATGCTTCTCTTTAGTTTTTACTGTGAACATATACCCGTTTCGAACGAAGGCCACCCAGTGGTCCAAATATCCACTTGCAGATTCTACAGAAAGAGTGTTTCGAACCTGAACTCTCAAAGGCAGGTTCATCTCTGCGAGTTAAATGCATTCATCATGAAGAACTTTCTCAGAGTGTTTGTGTTTAGTTATGGGAAATTATTCCCGTTTCCAACGAAATCCTCAGAGAGCTCCAAATATCCACCTGCAGATTCTACCAAAAGTGTATTTGGAAACTGCTCCATCAAAAGGCATGTTCAGCTCTGTGAGTGAAACTCCATCATCACAAAGAATATTCTGAGAATGCTTCCGTTTGCCTTTTATATGAAGTTCCTTCCTATACGACCGTAGGCCTCAAAGCAGTCCAAATCTCCATTTGCAGATTCTACAAAAAGAGTGATTCCAATCTGCTCTATCAATAGGATTGTTCAACTCCATGAGTTGAATGCCATCCTCACAAAGTCGTTTCTGAGAATGCTTCTATCTAGTTTTTATGTGAAGATATTTCCTTTTCCACCACAGGCCTCAAAGCCTTCCAAACGTCCACTTGCAGATTCTCGAAAAAGAGTGTTTCATAGCTGCTCTTTCAAAAGGAAAGTTCAACTCTGGGAGTTGAATACAAACATCACAAAGTAGTTTCCGAGAATGCTTCTGTTTAGTTTTTATGTGAAGATGATCCCGTTTCCAGTGAAATCTTCAAAGAGGTCCACATATCCCCTTGCAGATTCCAAAGAAAGAGGGTTTCAAAACTGCTCCATCAGAAGGATTGTTCAACTCTGTGAGTTGAATGCAGTCATCGCAGAAAACTTTCTGAGAATGCTTCTGTCTAGGTTTGATGTGAAGATATAGACGTTTCAAACGAAGGCTACAAAGTGGTCAAAATATACACTTGCAGATTCTACTACAAGGGTGTTGCAAACCTGAACTATCAAAGGAAGGTTCAACTCTGTGAGTTGAATACAAACATCACAAAGAATGTTCTGAGTTTGCTTCCGTTCAGTTATGGGAAGTTGATCCCGTTTCCAACGAAATCCTCAGAGAAGTCCAAATATCCCCTTGCAGATTCTACAAAACGTGTGTTTGGAGACTGCTCCATCATAACGAATGTTCAGCTCTCTGAGTTAAACTCCATCGTCACAAAGAATTTTCTGAGAGTGCTACCGTCTAGTTTTTATATGAAGTTCTTTCCTTTACTACCACAGGCCTCAAAGCGGTCCAAATCTCCACTTGCAGATTCTACAAAAAGAGTGTTTGCAAACTGCTCTATCAAAAGGAATGTTCAACTCTGGGAGTTGAATGCAATCATCACAGAGCAGTTTCTGAGAATGCTTCTATGTCGTTTTTAGGAGAAGATATTTCCTTTTCCAACACAGTCCTCCAAGCCCGCTAAATATCCACTTGCACATTGTAGAAAAAGTGTGTCGAAGCTGCGCTATCAAAGGGAAAGTTCAACTCTGTGAGGTGAATGCAAACATCCCAAAGAAGTTTCTGAGAATGCTTCCGTTTAGCTTTTAGGTGAAGATTATCCCGTTTCCAACGAAACCTTCAAAGAGGTCCAAATATCCCCTTGCGGATCCCACAGAAAGAGTGTTTCGAAACTGCTGTTTCAAAAGGAATCTTCAACTCTGTGAGTTGAATGCAATCATCACAAAGAAGTTTCTGACAATGCTTCTCTCTCGTCTTTCTGTGAAGATAAAGGAAAAGGCTTTCAGGCCTTTTCCCACCACAGGCCTGAAAGCGCTCCAAATGTCCACTTGCAGATTCTGCCAAAAGAATATTTCAAAACTGCTCTATGAAAAGCAATGTTAAACTCTGTGGCTGGAACACAAACATCACAAAGCGGTTTCTGAGAATGTTTCAGTTTAGTTTTTCTGTGGAAATATTCCCGTTTCCAAAGAAATCTTCAAAGAGGTCCACGTATCCACTTACAGATTCTACAAAAAGACAGTTTCAAAACTGCTCCATCAAAAGGAGGGTTCAACTGTGTGACTTGAATGCAATCATCACTCAGAAGTTTCTGAGAATGCTTCTCTTTAGTTTTTACGTGAACATATACCCGTTTCGAACGAAGGCCACCCAGTGGTCCAAATATCCACTTGCAGATTATACAGAAAGAGTGTTTCGAACCTGAACTCTCAAAGGCAGGTTCATCTCTGCGAGTTAAATGCATTCATCATGAAGAACTTTCTCAGAGTGTTTGTGTTTAGTTATGGGAAATTATTCCCGTTTCCAACGAAATCCTCAGAGAGCTCCAAATATCCACCTGCAGATTCTACCAAAAGTGTATTTGGAAACTGCTCCATCAAAAGGCATGTTCAGCTCTGTGAGTGAAACTCCATCATCACAAAGAATATTCTGAGAATGCTTCCGTTTGCCTTTTATATGAAGTTCCTTCCTGTACTACCGTAGGCCTCAAAGCAGTCCAAATCTCCATTTGCAGATTCTACAAAAAGAGTGATTCCAATCTGCTCTATCAATAGGATTGTTCAACTCCATGAGTTGAATGCCATCCTCACAAAGTCGTTTCTGAGAATGCTTCTATCTGGTTTTTGTGTGAAGATATTTCCTTTTCCACCACAGGCCTCAAAGCCCTCCAAACGTCCACTTGCAGATTCTCGAAAAAGAGTGTTTCATAGCTGCTCTTTCAAAAGGAAAGTTCAACTCTGGGAGTTGAATACAAACATCACAAAATAGTTTCCGAGAATGCTTCTGTTTAGTTTTTATGTGAAGATGATCCCGTTTCCAGTGAAATCTTCAAAGAGGTCCACATATCCCCTTGCAGATTCCAAAGAAAGAGGGTTTCAAAACTGCTCCATCAGAAGGATTGTTCAACTCTGTGAGTTGAATGCAGTCATCGCAGAAAACTTTCTGAGAATGCTTCTTTCTAGGTTTGATGTGAAGATATAGACGTTTCAAACGAAGGCTACAAAGTGGTCAAAATATACACTTGCAGATTCTACTACAAGGGTGTTGCAAACCTGAACTATCAAAGGAAGGTTCAACTCTGTGAGTTGAATACAAACATCACAAAGAATGTTCTGAGTTTGCTTCCGTTCAGTTATGGGAAGTTGATCCCGTTTCCAACGAAATCCTCAGAGAGGTCCAAATATCCCCTCGCAGATTCTACAAAACGTGTGTTTGGAAACTGCTCCATCATAACGAATGTTCAGCTCCCTGAGTTAAACTACATCGTCACAAAGAATTTTCTGAGAGTGCTACCGTCTGGTTTTTATATGAAGTTCTTTCCTTCACTACCACAGGCCTCAAAGCGGTCTAAATCTCCACTTGCAGATTCTACAAAAAGAGTGTTTGCAAACTGCTCTATCAAAAGGAATGTTCAACTCTGGGAGTTGAATGCAATCATCACAGAGCAGTTTCTGAGAATGCTTCTATGTCGTTTTTAGGAGAAGATATTTCCTTTTCCAACACAGTCCTCCAAGCCCGCTAAATAGCCACTTGCACATTGTAGAAAAAGTGTGTCAAAGCTGCGCTATCAAAGGGAAAGTTCAACTCTGTGAGGTGAATGCAAACATCCCAAAGAAGTTTCTGAGAATGCTTCCGTTTAGCTTTTAGGTGAAGATTATCCCGTTTCCAACGAAACCTTCAAAGAGGTCCAAATATCCCCTTGCGGATCCCACAGAAAGAGTGTTTCGAAACTGCTGTTTCAAAAGGAATCTTCAACTCTGTGAGTTGAATGCAATCATCACAAAGAAGTTTCTGACAATGCTTCTCTCTCGTCTTTCTGTGAAGATAAAGGAAAAGGCTTTCAGGCCTTTTCCACCACAGGCCTGAAAGCGCTCCAAATGTCCACTTGCAGATTCTGCCAAAAGAATATTTCAAAACTGCTCTATGAAAAGCAATGTTAAACTCTGCGGCTCGAACACAAACATCACAAAGCGGTTTCTGAGAATGCTTCAGTTTAGTTTTTCTGTGGAAATATTCCCGTTTCCAAAGAAATCTTCAAAGAGGTCCACGTATCCACTTACAGATTCTACAAAAAGACAGTTTCAAAACTGCTCCATCAAAAGGAGGGTTCAACCGTGTGACTTGAATGCAATCATCACTCAGAAGTTTCTGAGAATGCTTCTCTTTAGTTTTTACGTGAACATATACCCGTTTCGAACGAAGGCCACCCAGTGGTCCAAATATCCACTTGCAGATTATACAGAAAGAGTGTTTCGAACCTGAACTCTCAAAGGCAGGTTCATCTCTGCGAGTTAAATGCATTCATCATGAAGAACTTTCTCAGAGTGTTTGTGTTTAGTTATGGGAAATTATTCCCCTTTCCAACGAAATCCTCAGAGAGCTCCAAATATCCACCTGCAGATTCTACCAAAAGTGTATTTGGAAACTGCTCCATCAAAAGGCATGTTCAGCTCTGTGAGTGAAACTCCATCATCACAAAGAATATTCTGAGAATGCTTCCGTTTGCCTTTTATATGAAGTTCCTTCCTGTACTACCGTAGGCCTCAAAGCAGTCCAAATCTCCATTTGCAGATTCTACAAAAAGAGTGATTCCAATCTGCTCTATCAATAGGATTGTTCAACTCCATGAGTTGAATGCCATCCTCACAAAGTAGTTTCTGAGAATGCTTCTATCTGGTTTTTGTGTGAAGATATTTCCTTTTCCACCACAGGCCTCAAAGCCCTCCAAACGTCCACTTGCAGATTCTCGAAAAAGAGTGTTTCATAGCTGCTCTTTCAAAAGGAAAGTTCAACTCTGGGAGTTGAATACAAACATCACAAAGTAGTTTCCGAGAATGCTTCTGTTTAGTTTTTATGTGAAGATGATCCCGTTTCCAGTGAAATCTTCAAACAGGTCCACATATCCCCTTGCAGATTCCAAAGAAAGAGGGTTTCAAAACTGCTCCATCAGAAGGATTGTTCAACTCTGTGAGTTGAATGCAGTCATCGCAGAAAACTTTCTGAGAATGCTTCTGTCTAGGTTTGATGTGAAGATATAGACGTTTCAAACGAAGGCTACAAAGTGGTCAAAATATACACTTGCAGATTCTACTACAAGGGTGTTGCAAACCTGAACTATCAAAGGAAGGTTCAACTCTGTGAGTTGAATACAAACATCACAAAGAATGTTCTGAGTTTGCTTCCGTTCAGTTATGGGAAGTTGATCCAGTTTCCAACGAAATCCTCAGAGAGGTCCAAATATCCCCTCGCAGATTCTACAAAACGTGTGTTTGGAAACTGCTCCATCATAACGAATGTTCAGCTCCCTGAGTTAAACTCCATCGTCACAAAGAATTTTCTGAGAGTGCTACCGTCTGGTTTTTATATGAAGTTCTTTCCTTCACTACCACAGGCCTCAAAGCGGTCCAAATCTCCACTTGCAGATTCTACAAAAAGAGTGTTTGCAAACTGCTCTATCAAAAGGAATGTTCAACTCTGGGAGTTGAATGCAATCATCACAGAGCAGTTTCTGAGAATGCTTCTATGTCGTTTTTAGGAGAAGATATTTCCTTTTCCAACACAGTCCTCCAAGCCCGCTAAATAGCCACTTGCACATTGTAGAAAAAGTGTGTCAAAGCTGCGCTATCAAAGGGAAAGTTCAACTCTGTGAGGTGAATGCAAACATCCCAAAGAAGTTTCTGAGAATGCTTCCGTTTAGCTTTTAGGTGAAGATTATCCCGTTTCCAACGAAACCTTCAAAGAGGTCCAAATATCCCCTTGCGGATCCCACAGAAAGAGTGTTTCAAAACTGCTGTTTCAAAAGGAATCTTCAACTCTGTGAGTTGAATGCAATCATCACAAAGAAGTTTCTGACAATGCTTCTCTCTCGTCTTTCTGTGAAGATAAAGGAAAAGGCTTTCAGGCCTTTTCCACCACAGGCCTGAAAGCGCTCCAAATGTCCACTTGCAGATTCTGCGAAAAGAATATTTCAAAACTGCTCTATGAAAAGCAATGTTAAACTCTGTGGCTGGAACACAAACATCACAAAGCGGTTTCTGAGAATGTTTCAGTTTAGTTTTTCTGTGGAAATATTCCCGTTTCCAAAGAAATCTTCAAAGAGGTCCACGTATCCACTTACAGATTCTACAAAAAGACAGTTTCAAAACTGCTCCATCAAAAGGAGGGTTCAACTGTGTGACTTGAATGCAATCATCACTCAGAAGTTTCTGAGAATGCTTCTCTTTAGTTTTTACGTGAACATATACCCGTTTCGAACGAAGGCCACCCAGTGGTCCAAATATCCACTTGCAGATTATACAGAAAGAGTGTTTCGAACCTGAACTCTCAAAGGCAGGTTCATCTCTGCGAGTTAAATGCATTCATCATGAAGAACTTTCTCAGAGTGTTTGTGTTTAGTTATGGGAAATTATTCCCGTTTCCAACGAAATCCTCAGAGAGCTCCAAATATCCACCTGCAGATTCTACCAAAAGTGTATTTGGAAACTGCTCCATCAAAAGGCATGTTCAGCTCTGTGAGTGAAACTCCATCATCACAAAGAATATTCTGAGAATGCTTCCGTTTGCCTTTTATATGAAGTTCCTTCCTGTACTACCGTAGGCCTCAAAGCAGTCCAAATCTCCATTTGCAGATTCTATAAAAAGAGTGATTCCAATCTGCTCTATCAATAGGATTGTTCAACTCCATGAGTTGAATGCCATCCTCACAAAGTAGTTTCTGAGAATGCTTCTATCTGGTTTTTGTGTGAAGATGTTTCCTTTTCCACCACAGGCCTCAAAGCCCTCCAAACGTCCACTTGCAGATTCTCGAAAAAGAGTGTTTCATAGCTGCTCTTTCAAAAGGAAAGTTCAACTCTTTGAGTTGAATACAAACATCACAAAGTAGTTTCCGAGAATGCTTCTGTTTAGTTTTTATGTGAAGATGATCCCGTTTCCAGTGAAATCTTCAAAGAGGTCCACATATCCCCTTGCAGATTCCAAAGAAAGAGGGTTTCAAAACTGCTCCATCAGAAGGATTGTTCAACTCTGTGAGTTGAATGCAGTCATCGCAGAAAACTTTCTGAGAATGCTTCTGTCTAGGTTTGATGTGAAGATATAGACGTTTCAAACGAAGGCTACAAAGTGGTCAAAATATACACTTGCAGATTCTACTACAAGGGTGTTGCAAACCTGAACTATCAAAGGAAGGTTCAACTCTGTGAGTTGAATACAAACATCACAAGGAACGTTCTGAGTTTGCTTCCGTTCAGTTATGGGAAGTTGATCCCGTTTCCAACGAAATCCTCAGAGAGGTCCAAATATCCCCTTGCAGATTCTACAAAACGTGTGTTTGGAAACTGCTCCATCATAACGAATGTTCAGCTCCCTGAGTTAAACTCCATCGTCACAAAGAATTTTCTGAGAGTGCTACCGTCTGGTTTTTATATGAAGTTCTTTCCTTCACTACCACAGGCCTCAAAGCGGTCCAAATCTCCACTTGCAGATTCTACAAAAAGAGTGTTTGCAAACTGCTCTATCAAAAGGAATGTTCAACTCTGGGAGTTGAATGCAATCATCACAGAGCAGTTTCTGAGAATGCTTCTATGTCGTTTTTAGGAGAAGATATTTCCTTTTCCAACACAATCCTCCAAGCCCGCTAAATAGCCACTTGCACATTGTAGAAAAAGTGTGTCAAAGCTGCGCTATCAAAGGGAAAGTTCAACTCTGTGAGGTGAATGCAAACATCCCAAAGAAGTTTCTGAGAATGCTTCCGTTTAGCTTTTAGGTGAAGATTATCCCGTTTCCAACGAAACCTTCAAAGAGGTCCAAATATCCCCTTGCGGATCCCACAGAAAGAGTGTTTCGAAACTGCTGTTTCAAAAGGAATCTTCAACTCTGTGAGTTGAATGCAATCATCACAAAGAAGTTTCTGACAATGCTTCTCTCTCGTCTTTCTGTGAAGATAAAGGAAAAGGCTTTCAGGCCTTTGCCACCACAGGCCTGAAAGCGCTCCAAATGTCCACTTGCAGATTCTGCGAAAAGAATATTTCAAAACTGCTCTATGAAAAGCAATGTTAAACTCTGTGGCTCGAACACAAACATCACAAAGCGGTTTCTGAGAATGCTTCAGTTTAGTTTTTCTGTGGAAATATTCCCGTTTCCAAAGAAATCTTCAAAGAGGTCCACGTATCCACTTACAGATTCTACAAAAAGACAGTTTCAAAACTGCTCCATCAAAAGGAGGGTTCAACTGTGTGACTTGAATGCAATCATCACTCAGAAGTTTCTGAGAATGCTTCTCTTTAGTTTTTACGTGAACATATACCCGTTTCGAACGAAGGCCACCCAGTGGTCCAAATATCCACTTGCAGATTATACAGAAAGTGTGTTTCGAACCTGAACTCTCAAAGGCAGGTTCATCTCTGCGAGTTAAATGCATTCATCATGAAGAACTTTCTCAGCGTGTTTGTGTTTAGTTATGGGAAATTATTCCCGTTTCCAACGAAATCCTCAGAGAGCTCCAAATATCCACCTGCAGATTCTACCAAAAGTGTATTTGGAAACTGCTCCATCAAAAGGCATGTTCAGCTCTGTGAGTGAAACTCCATCATCACAATGAATATTCTGAGAATGCTTCCGTTTGCCTTTTATATGAAGTTCCTTCCTGTACTACCGTAGGCCTCAAAGCAGTCCAAATCTCCATTTGCAGATTCTATAAAAAGAGTGATTCCAATCTGCTCTATCAATAGGATTGTTCAACTCCATGAGTTGAATGCCATCCTCACAAAGTAGTTTCTGAGAATGCTTCTATCTGGTTTTTGTGTGAAGATATTTCCTTTTCCACCACAGGCCTCAAAGCCCTCCAAACGTCCACTTGCAGATTCTCGAAAAAGAGTGTTTTATAGCTGCTCTTTCAAAAGGAAAGTTCAACTCTGGGAGTTGAATACAAACATCACAAAGTAGTTTCCGAGAATGCTTCTGTTTAGTTTTTATGTGAAGATGATCCCGTTTCCAGTGAAATCTTCAAAGAGGTCCACATATCCCCTTGCAGATTCCAAAGAAAGAGGGTTTCAAAACTGCTCCATCAGAAGGATTGTTCAACTCTGTGAGTTGAATGCAGTCATCGCAGAAAACTTTCTGAGAATGCTTCTGTCTAGGTTTGATGTGAAGATATAGACGTTTCAAACGAAGGCTACAAAGTGGTCAAAATATACACTTGCAGATTCTACTACAAGGGTGTTGCAAACCTGAACTATCAAAGGAAGGTTCAACTCTGTGAATTGAATACAAACATCACAAAGAATGTTCTGAGTTTGCTTCCGTTCAGTTATGGGAAGTTGATCCCGTTTCCAACGAAATCCTCAGAGAGGTCCAAATATCCCCTTGCAGATTCTACAAAACGTGTGTTTGGAAACTGCTCCATCATAACGAATGTTCAGCTCCCTGAGTTAAACTCCATCGTCACAAAGAATTTTCTGAGAGTGCTACCGTCTGGTTTTTATATGAAGTTCTTTCCTTCACTACCACAGGCCTCAAAGCGGTCCAAATCTCCACTTGCAGATTCTACAAAAAGAGTGTTTGCAAACTGCTCTATCAAAAGGAATGTTCAACTCTGGGAGTTGAATGCAATCATCACAGAGCAGTTTCTGAGAATGCTTCTATGTCGTTTTTAGGAGAAGATATTTCCTTTTCCAACACAGACCTCCAAGCCCGCTAAAGATCCACTTGCACATTGTAGAAAAAGTGTGTCAAAGCTGCGCTATCAAAGGGAAAGTTCAACTCTGTGAGGTGAATGCAAACATCCCAAAGAAGTTTCTGAGAATGCTTCCGTTTAGCTTTTAGGTGAAGATTATCCCGTTTCCAATGAAACCTTCAAAGAGGTCCAAATATCCCCTTGCGGATCCCACAGAAAGAGTGTTTCGAAACTGCTGTTTCAAAAGGAATCTTCAACTCTGTGAGTTGAATGCAATCATCACAAAGAAGTTTCTGACAATGCTTCTCTCTCGTCTTTCTGTGAAGATAAAGGAAAAGGCTTTCAGGCCTTTTCCACCACAGGCCTGAAAGCGCTCCAAATGTCCACTTGCAGATTCTGCGAAAAGAATATTTCAAAACTGCTCTATGAAAAGCAATGTTAAACTCTGTGGCTCGAACACAAACATCACAAAGCGGTTTCTGAGAATGCTTCAGTTTAGTTTTTCTGTGGAAATATTCCCGTTTCCAAAGAAATCTTCAAAGAGGTCCACGTATCCACTTACAGATTCTACAAAAAGACAGTTTCAAAACTGCTCCATCAAAAGGAGGGTTCAACTGTGTGACTTGAATGCAATCATCACTCAGAAGTTTCTGAGAATGCTTCTCTTTAGTTTTTACGTGAACATATACCCGTTTCGAACGAAGGCCACCCAGTGGTCCAAATATCCACTTGCAGATTCTACAGAAAGAGTGTTTCGAACCTGAACTCTCAAAGGCAGGTTCATACTCTGCGAGTTAAATGCATTCATCATGAAGAACTTTCTCAGAGTGTTTTGTGTTTAGTTATGGGAAATTATTCCCGTTTCCAACGAAATCCTCAGAGAGCTCCAAATATCCACCTGCAGATTCTACCAAAAGTGTATTTGGAAACTGCTCCATCAAAAGGCATGTTCAGCTCTGTCAGTGAAACTCCATCATCACAAAGAATATTCTGAGAATGCTTCCGTTTGCCTTTTATATGAAGTTCCTTCCTATACTACCGTAGGCCTCAAAGCAGTCCAAATCTCCATTTGCAGATTCTACAAAAAGAGTGATTCCAATCTGCTCTATCAATAGGATTGTTCAACTCCATGAGTTGAATGCCATCCTCACAAAGTCGTTTCTGAGAATGCTTCTATCTGGTTTTTGTGTGAAGATATTTCCTTTTCCACCACAGGCCTCAAAGCCCTCCAAACGTCCACTTGCAGATTCTCGAAAAAGAGTGTTTCATAGCTGCTCTTTCAAAAGGAAAGTTCAACTCTGGGAGTTGAATACAAACATCACAAAATAGTTTCCGAGAATGCTTCTGTTTAGTTTTTATGTGAAGATGATCCCGTTTCCAGTGAAATCTTCAAAGAGGTCCACATATCCCCTTGCAGATTCCAAAGAAAGAGGGTTTCAAAACTGCTCCATCAGAAGGATTGTTCAACTGTGTGAGTTGAATGCAGTCATCGCAGAAAACTTTCTGAGAATGCTTCTGTCTAGGTTTGATGTGAAGATATAGACGTTTCAAACGAAGGCTACAAAGTGGTCAAAATATACACTTGCAGATTCTACTACAAGGGTGTTGCAAACCTGAACTATCAAAGGAAGGTTCAACTCTGTGAATTGAATACAAACATCACAAAGAATGTTCTGAGTTTGCTTCCGTTCAGTTATGGGAAGTTGATCCCGTTTCCAACGAAATCCTCAGAGAGGTCCAAATATCCCCTCGCAGATTCTACAAAACGTGTGTTTGGAAACTGCTCCATCATAACGAATGTTCAGCTCCCTGAGTTAAACTCCATCGTCACAAAGAATTTTCTGAGAGTGCTACCGTCTGGTTTTTATATGAAGTTCTTTCCTTCACTACCACAGGCCTCAAAGCGGTCCAAATCTCCACTTGCAGATTCTACAAAAAGAGTGTTTGCAAACTGCTCTATCAAAAGGAATGTTCAACTCTGGGAGTTGAATGCAATCATCACAGAGCAGTTTCTGAGAATGCTTCTATGTCGTTTTTAGGAGAAGATATTTCCTTTTCCAACACAGTCCTCCAAGCCCGCTAAATAGCCACTTGCACATTGTAGAAAAAGTGTGTCAAAGCTGCGCTATCAAAGGGAAAGTTCAACTCTGTGAGGTGAATGCAAACATCCCAAAGAAGTTTCTGAGAATGCTCCGTTTAGCTTTTAGGTGAAGATTATCCCGTTTCCAACGAAATCTTCAAAGAAGTCCAAATATCCCCTTGCGGATCCCACAGAAAGAGTGTTTCGAAACTGCTGTTTCAAAAGGAATCTTCAACTCTGTGAGTTGAATGCAATCATCACAAAGAAGTTTCTGACAATGCTCTCTCTCTCGTCTTTCTGTGAAGATAAAGGAAAAGGCTTTCAGGCCTTTTCCACCACAGGCCTGAAAGCGCTCCAAATGTCCACTTGCAGATTCTGCCAAAAGAATATTTCAAAACTGCTCTATGAAAAGCAATGTTAAACTCTGCGGCTCGAACACAAACATCACAAAGCGGTTTCTGAGAATGCTTCAGTTTAGTTTTTCTGTGGAAATATTCCCGTTTCCAAAGAAATCTTCAAAGAGGTCCACGCATCCACTTACAGATTCTACAAAAAGACAGTTTCAAAACTGCTCCATCAAAAGGAGGGTTCAACTGTGTGACTTGAATGCAATCATCACTCAGAAGTTTCTGAGAATGCTTCTCTTTAGTTTTTACGTGAACATATACCCGTTTCGAACGAAGGCCAGCCAGTGGTCCAAATATCCACTTGCAGATTCTACAGAAAGAGTGTTTCGAACCTGAACTCTCAAAGGCAGGTTCATCTCTGCGAGTTAAATGCATTCATCATGAAGAACTTTCTCAGAGTGTTTGTGTTTAGTTATGGGAAATTATTCCCGTTTCCAACGAAATCCTCAGAGAGCTCCAAATATCCACCTGCAGATTCTACCAAAAGTGTATTTGGAAACTGCTCCATCAAAAGGCATGTTCAGCTCTGTCAGTGAAACTCCATCATCACAAAGAATATTCTGAGAATGCTTCCGTTTGCCTTTTATATGAAGTTCCTTCCTATACTACCGTAGGCCTCAAAGCAGTCCAAATCTCCATTTGCAGATTCTACAAAAAGAGTGATTCCAATCTGCTCTATCAATAGGATTGTTCAACTCCATGAGTTGAATGCCATCCTCACAAAGTCGTTTCTGAGAATGCTTCTATCTGGTTTTTGTGTGAAGATATTTCCTTTTCCACCACAGGCCTCAAAGCCCTCCAAACGTCCACTTGCAGATTCTCGAAAAAGAGTGTTTCATAGCTGCTCTTTCAAAAGGAAAGTTCAACTCTGGGAGTTGAATACAAACATCACAAAATAGTTTCCGAGAATGCTTCTGTTTAGTTTTTATGTGAAGATGATCCCGTTTCCAGTGAAATCTTCAAAGAGGTCCACATATCCCCTTGCAGATTCCAAAGAAAGAGGGTTTCAAAACTGCTCCATCAGAAGGATTGTTCAACTCTGTGAGTTGAATGCAGTCATCGCAGAAAACTTTCTGAGAATGCTTCTGTCTAGGTTTGATGTGAAGATATAGACGTTTCAAACGAAGGCTACAAAGTGGTCAAAATATACACTTGCAGATTCTACTACAAGGGTGTTGCAAACCTGAACTATCAAAGGAAGGTTCAACTCTGTGAGTTGAATACAAACATCACAAAGAATGTTCTGAGTTTGCTTCCGTTCAGTTATGGGAAGTTGATCCCGTTTCCAACGAAATCCTCAGAGAGGTCCAAATATCCCCTCGCAGATTCTACAAAACGTGTGTTTGGAAACTGCTCCATCATAACGAATGTTCAGCTCCCTGAGTTAAACTCCATCGTCACAAAGAATTTTCTGAGAGTGCTACCGTCTGGTTTTTATATGAAGTTCTTTCCTTCACTACCACAGGCCTCAAAGCGGTCCAAATCTCCACTTGCAGATTCTACAAAAAGAGTGTTTGCAAACTGCTCTATCAAAAGGAATGTTCAACTCTGGGAGTTGAATGCAATCATCACAGAGCAGTTTCTGAGAATGCTTCTATGTCGTTTTTAGGAGAAGATATTTCGTTTTCCAACACAGTCCTCCAAGCCCGCTAAATAGCCACTTGCACATTGTAGAAAAAGTGTGTCAAAGCTGCGCTATCAAAGGGAAAGTTCAACTCTGTGAGGTGAATGCAAACATCCCAAAGAAGTTTCTGAGAATGTTTCCGTTTAGCTTTTAGGTGAAGATTATCCCGTTTCCAACGAAACCTTCAAAGAGGTGCAAATATCCCCTTGCGGATCCCACAGAAAGAGTGTTTCGAAACTGCTGTTTCAAAAGGAATCTTCAACTCTGTGAGTTGAATGCAATCATCACAAAGAAGTTTCTGACAATGCTTCTCTCTCGTCTTTCTGTGAAGATAAAGGAAAAGGCTTTCAGGCCTTTTCCACCACAGGCCTGAAAGCGCTCCAAATGTCCACTTGTAGATTCTGCCAAAAGAATATTTCAAAACTGCTCTATGAAAAGCAATGTTAAACTCTGTGGCTCGAACACAAACATCACAAAGCAGTTTCTGAGAATGCTTCAGTTTAGTTTTTCTGTGGAAATATTCCCGTTTCCAAAGGAAATCTTCAAAGAGGTCCACGTATCCACTTACAGATTCTACAAAAAGACAGTTTCAAAACTGCTCCATCAAAAGGAGGGTTCAACTGTGTGACTTGAATGCAATCATCACTCAGAAGTTTCTGAGAATGCTTCTCTTTAGTTTTTACGTGAACATATACCCGTTTCGAACGAAGGCCAGCCAGTGGTCCAAATATCCACTTGCAGATTCTACAGAAAGAGTGTTTCGAACCTGAACTCTCAAAGGCAGGTTCATCTCTGCGAGTTAAATGCATTCATCATGAAGAACTTTCTCAGAGTGTTTGTGTTTAGTTATGGGAAATTATTCCCGTTTCCAACGAAATCCTCAGAGAGCTCCAAATATCCACCTGCAGATTCTACCAAAAGTGTATTTGGAAACTGCTCCATCAAAAGGCATGTTCAGCTCTGTGAGTGAAACTCCATCATCACAAAGAATATTCTGAGAATGCTTCCGTTTGCCTTTTATATGAAGTTCCTTCCTATACGACCGTAGGCCTCAAAGCAGTCCAAATCTCCATTTGCAGATTCTACTAAAAGAGTGATTCCAATCTGCTCTATCAATAGGATTGTTCAACTCCATGAGTTGAATGCCATCCTCACAAAGTCGTTTCTGTGAATGCTTCTATCTAGTTTTTATGTGAAGATATTTCCTTTTCCACCACAGGCCTCAAAGCCCTCCAAACGTCCACTTGCAGATTCTCGAAAAAGAGTGTTTCATAGCTGCTCTTTCAAAAGGAAAGTTCAACTCTGGGAGTTGAATACAAACATCACAAAGTAGTTTCCGAGAATGCTTCTGTTTAGTTTTTATGTGAAGATGATCCCGTTTCCAGTGAAATCTTCAAAGAGGTCCACATATCCCCTTGCAGATTCCAAAGAAAGAGGGTTTCAAAACTGCTCCATCAGAAGGATTGTTCAACTCTGTGAGTTGAATGCAGTCATCGCAGAAAACTTTCTGAGAATGCTTCTGTCTAGGTTTGATGTGAAGATATAGACGTTTCAAACGAAGGCTACAAAGTGGTCAAAATATACACTTGCAGATTCTACTACAAGGGTGTTGCAAACCTGAACTATCAAAGGAAGGTTCAACTCTGTGAGTTGAATACAAACATCACAAAGAATGTTCTGAGTTTGCTTCCGTTCAGTTATGGGAAGTTGATCCCGTTTCCAACGAAATCCTCAGAGAGGTCCAAATATCCCCTTGCAGATTCTACAAAACGTGTGTTTGGAAACTGCTCCATCATAACGAATGTTCAGCTCCCTGAGTTAAACTCCATCGTCACAAAGAATTTTCTGAGAGTGCTACCGTCTGGTTTTTATATGAAGCTCTTTCCTTCACTACCACAGGCCTCAAAGCGGTCCAAATCTCCACTTGCAGATTCTACAAAAAGAGTGTTTGCAAACTGCTCTATCAAAAGGAATGTTCAACTCTGGGAGTTGAATGCAATCATCACAGAGCAGTTTCTGAGAATGCTTCTATGTCGTTTTTAGGAGAAGATATTTCCTTTTCCAACACAGTCCTCCAAGCCCGCTAAATAGCCACTTGCACATTGTAGAAAAAGTGTGTCAAAGCTGCGCTATCAAAGGGAAAGTTCAACTCTGTGAGGTGAATGCAAACATCCCAAAGAAGTTTCTGAGAATGCTTCCGTTTAGCTTTTAGGTGAAGATTATCCCGTTTCCAATGAAACCTTCAAAGAGGTCCAAATATCACCTTGCGGATCCCACAGAAAGAGTGTTTCGAAACTGTTGTTTCAAAAGGAATCTTCAACTCTGTGAGTTGAATGCAATCATCACAAAGAAGTTTCTGACAATGCTTCTCTCTCGTCTTTCTGTGAAGATAAAGGAAAAGGCTTTCAGGCCTTTTCCACCCACAGGCCTGAAAGCGCTCCAAATGTCCACTTGCAGATTCTGCGAAAAGAATATTTCAAAACTGCTCTATGAAAAGCAATGTTAAACTCTGTGGCTGGAACACAAACATCACAAAGCGGTTTCTGAGAATGTTTCAGTTTAGTTTTTCTGTGGAAATATTCCCGTTTCCAAAGAAATCTTCAAAGAGGTCCACGTATCCACTTACAGATTCTACAAAAAGACAGTTTCAAAACTGCTCCATCAAAAGGAGGGTTCAACTGTGTGACTTGAATGCAATCATCACTCAGAAGTTTCTGAGAATGCTTCTCTTTAGTTTTTACGTGAACATATACCCGTTTCGAACGAAGGCCACCCAGTGGTCCAAATATCCACTTGCAGATTATACAGAAAGAGTGTTTCGAACCTGAACTCTCAAAGGCAGGTTCATCTCTGCGAGTTAAATGCATTCATCATGAAGAACTTTCTCAGAGTGTTTGTGTTTAGTTATGGGAAATTATTCCCTTTTCCAACGAAATCCTCAGAGAGCTCCAAATATCCACCTGCAGATTCTACCAAAAGTGTATTTGGAAACTGCTCCATCAAAAGGCATGTTCAGCTCTGTGAGTGAAACTCCATCATCACAAAGAATATTCTGAGAATGCTTCCGTTTGCCTTTTATATGAAGTTCCTTCCTGTACTACCGTAGGCCTCAAAGCAGTCCAAATCTCCATTTGCAGATTCTATAAAAAGAGTGATTCCAATCTGCTCTATCAATAGGATTGTTCAACTCCATGAGTTGAATGCCATCCTCACAAAGTAGTTTCTGAGAATGCTTCTATCTAGTTTTTATGTGAAGATATTTCCTTTTCCACCACAGGCCTCAAAGCCCTCCAAACGTCCACTTGCAGATTCTCGAAAAAGAGTGTTTCATAGCTGCTCTTTCAAAAGGAATGTTCAACTCTGGGAGTTGAATACAAACATCACAAATTAGTTTCCGAGAATGCTTCTGTTTAGTTTTTATGTGAAGATGATCCCGTTTCCAGTGAAATCTTCAAAGAGGTCCACATATCCCCTTGCAGATTCCAAAGAAAGAGGGTTTAAAAACTGCTCCATCAGAAGGATTGTTCAACTCTGTGAGTTGAATGCAGTCATCGTAGAAAACTTTCTGAGAATGCTTCTGTCTAGGTTTGATGTGAAGATATAGACGTTTCAAACGAAGGCTACAAAGTGGTCAAAATATACACTTGCAGATTCTACTACAAGGGTGTTGCAAACCTGAACTATCAAAGGAAGGTTCAACTCTGTGAATTGAATACAAACATCACAAAGAATGTTCTGAGTTTGCTTCCGTTCAGTTATGGGAAGTTGATCCCGTTTCCAACGAAATCCTCAGAGAGGTCCAAATATCCCCTCGCAGATTCTACAAAACGTGTGTTTGGAAACTGCTCCATCATAACGAATGTTCAGCTCCCTGAGTTAAACTCCATCGTCACAAAGAATTTTCTGAGAGTGCTACCGTCTGGTTTTTATATGAAGTTCTTTCCTTCACTACCACAGGCCTCAAAGCGGTCCAAATCTCCACTTGCAGATTCTACAAAAAGAGTGTTTGCAAACTGCTCTATCAAAAGGAATGTTCAACTCTGGGAGTTGAATGCAATCATCACAGAGCAGTTTCTGAGAATGCTTCTATGTCGTTTTTAGGAGAAGATATTTCCTTTTCCAACACAGTCCTCCAAGCCCGCTAAATAGCCACTTGCACATTGTAGAAAAAGTGTGTCAAAGCTGCGCTATCAAAGGGAAAGTTCAACTCTGTGAGGTGAATGCAAACATCCCAAAGAAGTTTCTGAGAATGTTTCCGTTTAGCTTTTAGGTGAAGATTATCCCGTTTCCAACGAAACCTTCAAAGAGGTCCAAATATCCCCTTGCGGATCCCACAGAAAGAGTGTTTCGAAACTGCTGTTTCAAAAGGAATCTTCAACTCTGTGAGTTGAATGCAATCATCACAAAGAAGTTTCTGACAATGCTTCTCTCTCGTCTTTCTGTGAAGATAAAGGAAAAGGCTTTCAGGCCTTTTCCACCACAGGCCTGAAAGCGCTCCAAATGTCCACTTGTAGATTCTGCCAAAAGAATATTTCAAAACTGCTCTATGAAAAGCAATGTTAAACTCTGTGGCTCGAACACAAACATCACAAAGCAGTTTCTGAGAATGCTTCAGTTTAGTTTTTCTGTGGAAATATTCCCGTTTCCAAAGGAAATCTTCAAAGAGGTCCACGTATCCACTTACAGATTCTACAAAAAGACAGTTTCAAAACTGCTCCATCAAAAGGAGGGTTCAACTGTGTGACTTGAATGCAATCATCACTCAGAAGTTTCTGAGAATGCTTCTCTTTAGTTTTTACGTGAACATATACCCGTTTCGAACGAAGGCCAGCCAGTGGTCCAAATATCCACTTGCAGATTCTACAGAAAGAGTGTTTCGAACCTGAACTCTCAAAGGCAGGTTCATCTCTGCGAGTTAAATGCATTCATCATGAAGAACTTTCTCAGAGTGTTTGTGTTTAGTTATGGGAAATTATTCCCGTTTCCAACGAAATCCTCAGAGAGCTCCAAATATCCACCTGCAGATTCTACCAAAAGTGTATTTGGAAACTGCTCCATCAAAAGGCATGTTCAGCTCTGTGAGTGAAACTCCATCATCACAAAGAATATTCTGAGAATGCTTCCGTTTGCCTTTTATATGAAGTTCCTTCCTATACGACCGTAGGCCTCAAAGCAGTCCAAATCTCCATTTGCAGATTCTACAAAAAGAGTGATTCCAATCTGCTCTATCAATAGGATTGTTCAACTCCATGAGTTGAATGCCATCCTCACAAAGTCGTTTCTGAGAATGCTTCTATCTAGTTTTTATGTGAAGATATTTCCTTTTCCACCACAGGCCTCAAAGCCCTCCAAACGTCCACTTGCAGATTCTCGAAAAAGAGTGTTTCATAGCTGCTCTTTCAAAAGGAAAGTTCAACTCTGGGAGTTGAATACAAACATCACAAAGTAGTTTCCGAGAATGCTTCTGTTTAGTTTTTATGTGAAGATGATCCCGTTTCCAGTGAAATCTTCAAAGAGGTCCACATATCCCCTTGCAGATTCCAAAGAAAGAGGGTTTCAAAACTGCTCCATCAGAAGGATTGTTCAACTCTGTGAGTTGAATGCAGTCATCGCAGAAAACTTTCTGAGAATGCTTCTGTCTAGGTTTGATGTGAAGATATAGACGTTTCAAACGAAGGCTACAAAGTGGTCAAAATATACACTTGCAGATTCTACTACAAGGGTGTTGCAAACCTGAACTATCAAAGGAAGGTTCAACTATGTGAGTTGAATACAAACATCACAAAGAATGTTCTGAGTTTGCTTCCGTTCAGTTATGGGAAGTTGATCCCGTTTCCAACGAAATCCTCAGAGAGGTCCAAATATCCCCTTGCAGATTCTACAAAACGTGTGTTTGGAAACTGCTCCATCATAACGAATGTTCAGCTCCCTGAGTTAAACTCCATCGTCACAAAGAATTTTCTGAGAGTGCTACCGTCTGGTTTTTATATGAAGCTCTTTCCTTCACTACCACAGGCCTCAAAGCGGTCCAAATCTCCACTTGCAGATTCTACAAAAAGAGTGTTTGCAAACTGCTCTATCAAAAGGAATGTTCAACTCTGGGAGTTGAATGCAATCATCACAGAGCAGTTTCTGAGAATGCTTCTATGTCGTTTTTAGGAGAAGATATTTCCTTTTCCAACACAGTCCTCCAAGCCCGCTAAATAGCCACTTGCACATTGTAGAAAAAGTGTGTCAAAGCTGCGCTATCAAAGGGAAAGTTCAACTCTGTGAGGTGAATGCAAACATCCCAAAGAAGTTTCTGAGAATGCTTCCGTTTAGCTTTTAGGTGAAGATTATCCCGTTTCCAACGAAACCTTCAAAGAGGTCCAAATATCCCCTTGCGGATCCCACAGAAAGAGTGTTTCGAAACTGCTGTTTCAAAAGGAATCTTCAACTCTGTGAGTTGAATGCAATCATCACAAAGAAGTTTCTGACAATGCTTCTCTCTCGTCTTTCTGTGAAGATAAAGGAAAAGGCTTTCAGGCCTTTTCCACCACAGGCCTGAAAGCGCTCCAAATGTCCACTTGCAGATTCTGCCAAAAGAATATTTCAAAACTGCTCTATGAAAAGCAATGTTAAACTCTGCGGCTCGAACACAAACATCACAAAGCGGTTTCTGAGAATGCTTCAGTTTAGTTTTTCTGTGGAAATATTCCCGTTTCCAAAGAAATCTTCAAAGAGGTCCACGTATCCACTTACAGATTCTACAAAAAGACAGTTTCAAAACTGCTCCATCAAAAGGAGGGTTCAACTGTGTGACTTGAATGCAATCATCACTCAGAAGTTTCTGAGAATGCTTCTCTTTAGTTTTTACGTGAACATATACCCGTTTCGAACGAAGGCCACCCAGTGGTCCAAATATCCACTTGCAGATTCTACAGAAAGAGTGTTTCGAACCTGAACTCTCAAAGGCAGGTTCATCTCTGCGAGTTAAATGCATTCATCATGAAGAACTTTCTCAGCGTGTTTGTGTTTAGTTATGGGAAATTATTCCCGTTTCCAACGAAATCCTCAAAGAGCTCCAAATATCCACCTGCAGATTCTACCAAAAGTGTATTTGGAAACTGCTCCATCAAAAGGCATGTTCAGCTCTGTGAGTGAAACTCCATCATCACAAAGAATATTCTGAGAATGCTTCCGTTTGCCTTTTATATGAAGTTCCTTCCTATACGACCGTAGGCCTCAAAGCAGTCCAAATCTCCATTTGCAGATTCTACAAAAAGAGTGATTCCAATCTGCTCTATCAATAGGATTGTTCAACTCCATGAGTTGAATGCCATCCTCACAAAGTAGTTTCTGAGAATGCTTCTATCTAGTTTTTATGTGAAGATATTTCCTTTTCCACCACAGGCCTCCAAGCCCTCCAAACGTCCACTTGCAGATTCTCGAAAAAGAGTGTTTCATAGCTGCTCTTTCAAAAGGAAAGTTCAACTCTGGCAGTTGAATACAAACATCACAAAGTAGTTTCCGAGAATGCTTCTGTTTAGTTTTTATGTGAAGATGATCCCGTTTCCAGTGAAATCTTCAAAGAGGTCCACATATCCCCTTGCAGATTCCAAAGAAAGAGGGTTTCAAAACTGCTCCATCAGAAGGATTGTTCAACTCTGTGAGTGGAATGCAGTCATCGCAGAAAACTTTCTGAGAATGCTTCTTTCTAGGTTTGATGTGAAGATATAGACGTTTCAAACGAAGGCTACAAAGTGGTCAAAATATACACTTGCAGATTCTACTACAAGGGTGTTGCAAACCTGAACTATCAAAGGAAGGTTCAACTCTGTGAGTTGAATACAAACATCACAAAGAATGTTCTGAGTTTGCTTCCGTTCAGTTATGGGAAGTTGATCCCGTTTCCAGCGAAATCCTCAGAGAGGTCCAAATATCCCCTTGCAGTTTCTACAAAACGTGTGTTTGGAAACTGCTCCATCATAACGAATGTTCAGCTCCCTGAGTTAAACTCCATCGTCACAAAGAATTTTCTGAGAGTGCTACCGTCTGGTTTTTATATGAAGTTCTTTCCTTTACTACCATAGGCCTCAAAGCGGTCCAAATCTCCACTTGCAGATTCTACAAAAAGAGTGTTTGCAAACTGCTCTATCAAAAGGAATGTTCAACCCTGGGAGTTGAATGCAATCATCACAGAGCAGTTTCTGAGAATGCTTCTATGTCGTTTTTAGGAGAAGATATTTCCTTTTCCAACACAGTCCTCCAAGCCCGCTAAATAGCCACTTGCACATTGTAGAAAAAGTGTGTCAAAGCTGCGCTATCAAAGGGAAAGTTCAACTCTGTGAGGTGAATGCAAACATCCCAAAGAAGTTTCTGAGAGTGCTTCCGTTTAGCTTTTAGGTGAAGATTATCCCGTTTCCAACGAAACCTTCAAAGAGGTCCAAATATCCCCTTGCGGATCCCACAGAAAGAGTGTTTCGAAACTGCTGTTTCAAAAGGAATCTTCAACTCTGTGAGTTGAATGCAATCATCACAAAGAAGTTTCTGACAATGCTTCTCTCTCGTCTTTCTGTGAAGATAAAGGAAAAGGCTTTCAGGCCTTTTCCACCACAGGCCTGAAAGCGCTCCAAATGTCCACTTGCAGATTCTGCGAAAAGAATATTTCAAAACTGCTCTATGAAAAGCAATGTTAAACTCTGTGGCTCGAACACAAACATCACAAAGCGGTTTCTGAGAATGCTTCAGTTTAGTTTTTCTGTGGAAATATTCCCGTTTCCAAAGAAATCTTCAAAGAGGTCCACGTATCCACTTACAGATTCTACAAAAAGACAGTTTCAAATCTGCTCCATCAAAAGGAGGGTTCAACCGTGTGACTTGAATGCAATCATCACTCAGAAGTTTCTGAGAATGCTTCTCTTTAGTTTTTACGTGAACATATACCCGTTTCGAACGAAGGCCACCCAGTGGTCCAAATATCCACTTGCAGATTATACAGAAAGAGTGTTTCGAACCTGAACTCTCAAAGGCAGGTTCATCTCTGCGAGTTAAATGCATTCATCATGAAGAACTTTCTCAGAGTGTTTGTGTTTAGTTATGGGAAATTATTCCCGTTTCCAACGAAATCCTCAGAGAGCTCCAAATATCCACCTGCAGATTCTACCAAAAGTGTATTTGGAAACTGCTCCATCAAAAGGCATGTTCAGCTCTGTGAGTGAAACTCCATCATCACAAAGAATATTCTGAGAATGCTTCCGTTTGCCTTTTATATGAAGTTCCTTCCTGTACTACCGTAGGCCTCAAAGCAGTCCAAATCTCCATTTGCAGATTCTACAAAAAGAGTGATTCCAATCTGCTCTATCAATAGGATTGTTCAACTCCATGAGTTGAATGCCATCCTCACAAAGTCGTTTCTGAGAATGCTTCTATCTGGTTTTTGTGTGAAGATATTTCCTTTTCCACCACAGGCCTCAAAGCCCTCCAAACGTCCACTTGCAGATTCTCGAAAAAGAGTGTTTCATAGCTGCTCTTTCAAAAGGAAAGTTCAACTCTGTGAGTTGAATACAAACATCACAAAATAGTTTCCGAGAATGCTTCTGTTTAGTTCTTATGTGAAGATGATCCCGTTTCCAGTGAAATCTTCAAAGAGGTCCACATATCCCCTTGCAGATTCCAAAGAAAGAGGGTTTCAAAACTGCTCCATCAAAAGGATTGTTCAACTCTGTGAGTTGAATGCAGTCATCGCAGAAAACTTTCTGAGAATGCTTCTGTCTAGGTTTGATGTGAAGATATAGACGTTTCAAATGAAGGCTACAAAGTGGTCAAAATATACACTTGCAGATTCTACTACAAGGGTGTTGCAAACCTGAACTATCAAAGGAAGGTTCAACTCTGTGAGTTGAATACAAACATCACAAAGAATGTTCTGAGTTTGCTTCCGTTCAGTTATGGGAAGTTGATCCCGTTTCCAACGAAATCCTCAGAGAGGTCGAAATATCCCCTCGCAGATTCTACAAAACGTGTGTTTGGAAACTGCTCCATCATAACGAATGTTCAGCTCCCTGAGTTAAACTCCATCGTCACAAAGAATTTTCTGAGAGTGCTACCGTCTGGTTTTTATATGAAGTTCTTTCCTTCACTACCACAGGCCTCAAAGCGGTCCAAATCTCCACTTGCAGATTCTACAAAAAGAGTGTTTGCAAACTGCTCTATCAAAAGGAATGTTCAACTCTGGGAGTTGAATGCAATCATCACAGAGCAGTTTCTGAGAATGCTTCTATGTCGTTTTTAGGAGAAGATATTTCCTTTTCCAACACAGTCCTCCAAGCCCGCTAAATAGTCACTTGCACATTGTAGAAAAAGTGTGTCAAAGCTGCGCTATCAAAGGGAAAGTTCAACTCTGTGAGGTGAATGCAAACATCCCAAAGAAGTTTCTGAGAATGCTTCCGTTTAGCTTTTAGGTGAAGATTATCCCGTTTCCAACGAAACCTTCAAAGAGGTCCAAATATCCCCTTGCGGATCCCACAGAAAGAGTGTTTCGAAACTGCTGTTTCAAAAGGAATCTTCAACTCTGTGAGTTGAATGCAATCATCACAAAGAAGTTTCTGACAATGCTTCTCTCTCGTCTTTCTGTGAAGATAAAGGAAAAGGCTTTCAGGCCTTTTCCACCACAAGCCTGAAAGCGCTCCAAATGTCCACTTGCAGATTCTGCCAAAAGAATATTTCAAAACTGCTCTATGAAAAGCAATGTTAAACTCTGCGGCTCGAACACAAACATCACAAAGCGGTTTCTGAGAATGCTTCAGTTTAGTTTTTCTGTGGAAATATTCCCGTTTCCAAAGAAATCTTCAAAGAGGTCCACGTATCCACTTACAGATTCTACAAAAAGACAGTTTCAAAACTGCTCCATCAAAAGGAGGGTTCAACTGTGTGACTTGAATGCAATCATCACTCAGAAGTTTCTGAGAATGCTTCTCTTTAGTTTTTACGTGAACATATACCCGTTTCGAACGAAGGCCACCCAGTGGTCCAAATATCCACTTGCAGATTCTACAGAAAGAGTGTTTCGAACCTGAACTCTCAAAGGCAGGTTCATCTCTGCGAGTTAAATGCATTCATCATGAAGAACTTTCTCAGAGTGTTTGTGTTTAGTTATGGGAAATTATTCCCGTTTCCAACGAAATCCTCAGAGAGCTCCAAATATCCACCTGCAGATTCTACCAAAAGTGTATTTGGAAACTGCTCCATCAAAAGGCATGTTCAGCTCTGTGAGTGAAACTCCATCATCACAAAGAATATTCTGAGAATGCTTCCGTTTGCCTTTTATCTGAAGTTCCTTCCTATACGACCGTAGGCCTCAAAGCAGTCCAAATCTCCATTTGCAGATTCTACAAAAAGAGTGATTCCAATCTGCTCTATCAATAGGATTGTTCAACTCCATGAGTTGAATGCCATCCTCACAAAGTAGTTTCTGAGAATGCTTCTATCTAGTTTTTATGTGAAGGTATTTCCTTTTCCACCACAGGCCTCCAAGCCCTCCAAACGTCCACTTGCAGATTCTCGAAAAAGAGTGTTTCATAGCTGCTCTTTCAAAAGGAAAGTTCAACTCTGGGAGTTGAATACAAACATCACAAAGTAGTTTCCGAGAATGCTTCTGTTTAGTTTTTATGTGAAGATGATCCCGTTTCCAGTGAAATCTTCAAAGAGGTCCACATATCCCCTTGCACATTCCAAAGAAAGAGGGTTTCAAAACTGCTCCATCAGAAGGATTGTTCAACTCTGTGAGTTGAATGCAGTCATCGCAGAAAACTTTCTGAGAATGCTTCTGTCTAGGTTTGATGTGAAGATATAGACGTTTCAAATGAAGGCTACAAAGTGGTCAAAATATACACTTGCAGATTCTACTACAAGGGTGTTGCAAACCTGAACTATCAAAGGAAGGTTCAACTCTGTGAGTTGAATACAAACATCACAAAGAATGTTCTGAGTTTGCTTCCGTTCAGTTATGGGAAGTTGATCCCGTTTCCAACGAAATCCTCAGAGAGGTCCAAATATCCCCTTGCAGATTCTACAAAACGTGTGTTTGGAAACTGCTCCATCATAACAAATGTTCAGCTCCCTGAGTTAAACTCCATCGTCACAAAGAATTTTCTGAGAGTGCTACCGTCTGGTTTTTATATGAAGCTCTTTCCTTCACTATCACAGGCCTCAAAGCGGTCCAAATCTCCACTTCCAGATTCTACAAAAAGAGTGTTTGCAAACTGCTCTATCAAAAGGAATGTTCAACTCTGGGAGTTGAATGCAATCATCACAGAGCAGTTTCTGAGAATGCTTCTATGTCGTTTTTAGGAGAAGATATTTCCTTTTCCAACACAGTCCTCCAAGCCCGCTAAATAGCCACTTGCACATTGTAGAAAAAGTGTGTCAAAGCTGCGCTATCAAAGGGAAAGTTCAACTCTGTGAGGTGAATGCAAACATCCCAAAGAAGTTTCTGAGAATGCTTCCGTTTAGCTTTTAGGTGAAGATTATCCCGTTTCCAACGAAACCTTCAAAGAGGTCCAAATATCCCCTTGCGGATCCCACAGAAAGAGTGTTTCGAAACTGCTGTTTCAAAAGGAATCTTCAACTCTGTGAGTTGAATGCAATCATCACAAAGAAGTTTCTGACAATGCTTCTCTCTCGTCTTTCTGTGAAGATAAAGGAAAAGGCTTTCAGGCCTTTTCCACCACAGGCCTGAAAGCGCTCCAAATGTCCACTTGCAGATTCTGCCAAAAGAATATTTCAAAACTGCTCTATGAAAAGCAATGTTAAACTCTGTGGCTGGAACACAAACATCACAAAGCGGTTTCTGAGAATGTTTCAGTTTAGTTTTTCTGTGGAAATATTCCCGTTTCCAAAGAAATCTTCAAAGAGGTCCACGTATCCACTTACAGATTCTACAAAAAGACAGTTTCAAAACTGCTCCATCAAAAGGAGGGTTCAACTGTGTGACTTGAATGCAATCATCACTCAGAAGTTTCTGAGAATGCTTCTCTTTAGTTTTTACGTGAACATATACCCGTTTCGAACGAAGGCCACCCAGTGGTCCAAATATCCACTTGCAGATTATACAGAAAGAGTGTTTCGAACCTGAACTCTCAAAGGCAGGTTCATCTCTGCGAGTTAAATGCATTCATCATGAAGAACTTTCTCAGAGTGTTTGTGTTTAGTTATGGGAAATTATTCCCGTTTCCAACGAAATCCTCAGAGAGCTCCAAATATCCACCTGCAGATTCTACCAAAAGTGTATTTGGAAACTGCTCCATCAAAAGGCATGTTCAGCTCTGTGAGTGAAACTCCATCATCACAAAGAATATTCTGAGAATGCTTCCGTTTGCCTTTTATATGAAGTTCCTTCCAATACGACCGTAGGCCTCAAAGCAGTCCAAATCTCCATTTGCAGATTCTACAAAAAGAGTGATTCCAATCTGCTCTATCAATAGGATTGTTCAACTCCATGAGTTGAATGCCATCCTCACAAAGTCGTTTCTGAGAATGCTTCTATCTAGTTTTTATGTGAAGATATTTCCTTTTCCACCACAGGCCTCAAAGCCCTCCAAACGTCCACTTGCAGATCCTCGAAAAAGAGTGTTTCATAGCTGCTCTTTCAAAAGGAAAGTTCAACTCTGGGAGTTGAATACAAACATCACAAAGTAGTTTCCGAGAATGCTTCTGTTTAGTTTTTATGTGAAGATGATCCCGTTTCCAGTGAAATCTTCAAAGAGGTCCACATATCCCCTTGCAGATTCCAAAGAAAGAGGGTTTCAAAACTGCTCCATCAGAAGGATTGTTCAACTCTGTGAGTTGAATGCAGTCATCGCAGAAAACTTTCTGAGAATGCTTCTGTCTAGGTTTGATGTGAAGATATAGACGTTTCAAACGAAGGCTACAAAGTGGTCAAAATATACACTTGCAGATTCTACTACAAGGGTGTTGCAAACCTGAACTATCAAAGGAAGGTTCAACTCTGTGAGTTGAATACAAACATCACAAAGAATGTTCTGAGTTTGCTTCCGTTCAGTTATGGGAAGTTGATCCCGTTTCCAACGAAATCCTCAGAGAGGTCCAAATATCCCCTTGCAGATTCTACAAAACGTGTGTTTGGAAACTGCTCCATCATAACGAATGTTCAGCTCCCTGAGTTAAACTCCATCGTCACAAAGAATTTTCTGAGAGTGCTACCGTCTGGTTTTTATATGAAGTTCTTTCCTTCACTACCACAGGCCTCAAAGCGGTCCAAATCTCCACTTGCAGATTCTACAAAAAGAGTGTTTGCAAACTGCTCTATCAAAAGGAATGTTCAACTCTGGGAGTTGAATGCAATCATCACAGAGCAGTTTCTGAGAATGCTTCTATGTCGTTTTTAGGAGAAGATATTTCCTTTTCCAACACAGTCCTCCAAGCCCGCTAAATAGCCACTTGCACATTGTAGAAAAAGTGTGTCAAAGCTGCGCTATCAAAGGGAAAGTTCAACTCTGTGAGGTGAATGCAAACATCCCAAAGAAGTTTCTGAGAATGTTTCCGTTTAGCTTTTAGGTGAAGATTATCCCGTTTCCAACGAAACCTTCAAAGAGGTCCAAATATCCCCTTGCGGATCCCACAGAAAGAGTGTTTCGAAACTGCTGTTTCAAAAGGAATCTTCAACTCTGTGAGTTGAATGCAATCATCACAAAGAAGTTTCTGACAATGCTTCTCTCTCGTCTTTCTGTGAAGATAAAGGAAAAGGCTTTCAGGCCTTTTCCACCACAGGCCTGAAAGCGCTCCAAATGTCCACTTGCAGATTCTGCGAAAAGAATATTTCAAAACTGCTCTATGAAAAGCAATGTTAAACTCTGTGGCTCGAACACAAACATCACAAAGCGGTTTCTGAGAATGCTTCAGTTTAGTTTTTCTTTGGAAATATTCCCGTTTCCAAAGAAATCTTCAAAGAGGTCCACGTATCCACTTACAGATTCTACAAAAAGACAGTTTCAAAACTGCTCCATCAAAAGGAGGGTTCAACTGTGTGACTTGAATGCAATCATCACTCAGAAGTTTCTGAGAATGCTTCTCTTTAGTTTTTACGTGAACATATACCCGTTTCGAACGAAGGCCAGCCAGTGGTCCAAATATCCACTTGCAGATTCTACAGAAAGAGTGTTTCGAACCTGAACTCTCAAAGGCAGGTTCATCTCTGCGAGTTAAATGCATTCATCATGAAGAACTTTCTCAGAGTGTTTGTGTTTAGTTATGGGAAATTATTCCCGTTTCCAACGAAATCCTCAGAGAGCTCCAAATATCCACCTGCAGATTCTACCAAAAGTGTATTTGGAAACTGCTCCATCAAAAGGCATGTTCAGCTCTGTGAGTGAAACTCCATCATCACAAAGAATATTCTGAGAATGCTTCCGTTTGCCTTTTATATGAACTTCCTTCCTATACGACCGTAGGCCTCAAAGCAGTCCAAATCTCCATTTGCAGATTCTACAAAAAGAGTGATTCCAATCTGCTCTATCAATAGGATTGTTCAACTCCATGAGTTGAATGCCATCCTCACAAAGTCGTTTCTGAGAATGCTTCTATCTAGTTTTTATGTGAAGATATTTCCTTTTCCACCACAGGCCTCAAAGCCCTCCAAACGTCCACTTGCAGATTCTCGAAAAAGAGTGTTTCATAGCTGCTCTTTCAAAAGGAAAGTTCAACTCTGGGAGTTGAATACAAACATCACAAAGTAGTTTCCGAGAATGCTTCTGTTTAGTTTTTATGTGAAGATGATCCCGTTTCCAGTGAAATCTTCAAAGAGGTCCACATATCCCCCTGCAGATTGCAAAGAAAGAGGGTTTCAAAACTGCTCCATCAAAAGGATTGTTCAACTCTGTGAGTTGAATGCAGTCATCGCAGAAAACTTTCTGAGAATGCTTCTGTCTAGGTTTGATGTGAAGATATAGACGTTTCAAATGAAGGCTACAAA
Organism: Homo sapiens; assembly: GCF_000001405.40. Classification (NCBI taxonomy): domain Eukaryota; kingdom Metazoa; phylum Chordata; class Mammalia; order Primates; family Hominidae; genus Homo; species Homo sapiens. The sequence goes on along the minus strand of NC_000023.11, from coordinate 60,171,124 downwards.
GTGGTCAAAATATACACTTGCAGATTCTACTACAAGGGTGTTGCAAACCTGAACTATCAAAGGAAGGTTCAACTCTGTGAGTTGAATACAAACATCACAAAGAATGTTCTGAGTTTGCTTCCGTTCAGTTATGGGAAGTTGATCCCGTTTCCAACGAAATCCTCAGAGAGGTCCAAATATCCCCTTGCAGATTCTACAAAACGTGTGTTTGGAAACTGCTCCATCATAACGAATGTTCAGCTCCCTGAGTTAAACTCCATCGTCACAAAGAATTTTCTGAGAGTGCTACCGTCTGGTTTTTATATGAAGTTCTTTCCTTCACTACCACAGGCCTCAAAGCGGTCCAAATCTCCACTTGCAGATTCTACAAAAAGAGTGTTTGCAAACTGCTCTATCAAAAGGAATGTTCAACTCTGGGAGTTGAATGCAATCATCACAGAGCAGTTTCTGAGAATGCTTCTATGTCGTTTTTAGGAGAAGATATTTCCTTTTCCAACACAGTCCTCCAAGCCCGCTAAATAGCCACTTGCACATTGTAGAAAAAGTGTGTCAAAGCTGCGCTATCAAAGGGAAAGTTCAACTCTGTGAGGTGAATGCAAACATCCCAAAGAAGTTTCTGAGAATGCTTCCGTTTAGCTTTTAGGTGAAGATTATCCCGTTTCCAACGAAACCTTCAAAGAGGTCCAAATATCCCCTTGCGGATCCCACAGAAAGAGTGTTTCGAAACTGCTGTTTCAAAAGGAATCTTCAACTCTGTGAGTTGAATGCAATCATCACAAAGAAGTTTCTGACAATGCTTCTCTCTCGTCTTTCTGTGAAGATAAAGGAAAAGGCTTTCAGGCCTTTGCCACCACAGGCCTGAAAGCGCTCCAAATGTCCACTTGCAGATTCTGCGAAAAGAATATTTCAAAACTGCTCTATGAAAAGCAATGTTAAACTCTGTGGCTGGAACACAAACATCACAAAGCGGTTTCTGAGAATGCTTCAGTTTAGTTTTTCTGTGGAAATATTCCCGTTTCCAAAGAAATCTTCAAAGAGGTCCACGTATCCACTTACAGATTCTACAAAAAGACAGTTTCAAAACTGCTCCATCAAAAGGAGGGTTCAACTGTGTGACTTGAATGCAATCATCACTCAGAAGTTTCTGAGAATGCTTCTCTTTAGTTTTTACGTGAACATATACCCGTTTCGAACGAAGGCCACCCAGTGGTCCAAATATCCACTTGCAGATTCTACAGAAAGAGTGTTTCGAACCTGAACTCTCAAAGGCAGGTTCATCTCTGCGAGTTAAATGCATTCATCATGAAGAACTTTCTCAGAGTGTTTGTGTTTAGTTATGGGAAATTATTCCCGTTTCCAACGAAATCCTCAGAGTGGTCCAAATATCCACCTGCAGATTCTACCAAAAGTGTATTTGGAAACTGCTCCATCAAAAGGCATGTTCAGCTCTGTGAGTGAAACTCCATCATCACAAAGAATATTCTGAGAATGCTTCCGTTTGCCTTTTATCTGAAGTTCCTTCCTATACGACCGTAGGCCTCAAAGCAGTCCAAATCTCCATTTGCAGATTCTACAAAAAGAGTGATTCCAATCTGCTCTATCAATAGGATTGTTCAACTCCATGAGTTGAATGCCATCCTCACAAAGTAGTTTCTGAGAATGCTTCTATCTAGTTTTTATGTGAAGGTATTTCCTTTTCCAGCACAGGCCTCCAAGCCCTCCAAACGTCCACTTGCAGATTCTCGAAAAAGAGTGTTTCATAGCTGCTCTTTCAAAAGGAAAGTTCAACTCTGGGAGTTGAATACAAACATCACAAAATAGTTTCCGAGAATGCTTCTGTTTAGTTTTTATGTGAAGATGATCCCGTTTCCAGTGAAATCTTCAAAGAGGTCCACATATCCCATTGCAGATTCCAAAGAAAGAGGGTTTAAAAACTGCTCCATCAGAAGGATTGTTCAACTCTGTGAGTTCAATGCAGTCATCGCAGAAAACTTTCTGAGAATGCTTCTGTCTAGGTTTGATGTGAAGATATAGACGTTTCAAACGAAGGCTACAAAGTGGTCAAAATATACACTTGCAGATTCTACTACAAGGGTGTTGCAAACCTGAACTATCAAAGGAAGGTTCAACTCTGTGAGTTGAATACAAACATCACAAAGAATGTTCTGAGTTTGCTTCCGTTCAGTTATGGGAAGTTGATCCCGTTTCCAACGAAATCCTCAGAGAGGTCCAAATATCCCCTCGCAGATTCTACAAAACGTGTGTTTGGAAACTGCTCCATCATAACGAATGTTCAGCTCCCTGAGTTAAACTCCATCGTCACAAAGAATTTTCTGAGAGTGCTACCGTCTGGTTTTTATATGAAGTTCTTTCCTTCACTACCACAGGCCTCAAAGCGGTCCAAATCTCCACTTGCAGATTCTACAAAAAGAGTGTTTGCAAACTGCTCTATCAAAAGGAATGTTCAACTCTGGGAGTTGAATGCAATCATCACAGAGCAGTTTCTGAGAATGCTTCTATGTCGTTTTTAGGAGAAGATATTTCCTTTTCCAACACAGTCCTCCAAGCCCGCTAAATAGTCACTTGCACATTGTAGAAAAAGTGTGTCAAAGCTGCGCTATCAAAGGGAAAGTTCAACTCTGTGAGGTGAATGCAAACATCCCAAAGAAGTTTCTGAGAGTGCTTCCGTTTAGCTTTTAGGTGAAGATTATCCCGTTTCCAACGAAACCTTCAAAGAGGTCCAAATATCCCCTTGCGGATCCCACAGAAAGAGTGTTTCGAAACTGCTGTTTCAAAAGGAATCTTCAACTCTGTGAGTTGAATGCAATCATCACAAAGAAGTTTCTGACAATGCTTCTCTCTCGTCTTTCTGTGAAGGTAAAGGAAAAGGCTTTCAGGACTTTTCCACCACAGGCCTGAAAGCGCTCCAAATGTCCACTTGCAGATTCTGCCAAAAGAATATTTCAAAACTGCTCTATGAAACGCAATGTTAAACTCTGTGGCTCGAACACAAACATCACAAGGCGGTTTCTGAGAATGATTCAGTTTAGTTTTTCTGTGGAAATATTCCCGTTTCCAAAGAAATCTTCAAAGAGGTCCACGTATCCACTTACAGATTCTACAAAAAGACAGTTTCAAAACTGCTCCATCAAAAGGAGGGTTCAACTGTGTGACTTGAATGCAATCATCACTCAGAAGTTTCTGAGAATGCTTCTCTTTAGTTTTTACGTGAACATATACCCGTTTCGAACGAAGGCCACCCAGTGGTCCAAATATCCACTTGCAGATTCTACAGAAAGAGTGTTTCGAACCTGAACTCTCAAAGGCAGGTTCATCTCTGCGAGTTAAATGCATTCATCATGAAGAACTTTCTCAGAGTGTTTGTGTTTAGTTATGGGAAATTATTCCCGTTTCCAACGAAATCCTCAGAGAGCTCCAAATATCCACCTGCAGATTCTACCAAAAGTGTATTTGGAAACTGCTCCATCAAAAGGCATGTTCAGCTCTGTGAGTGAAACTCCATCATCACAAAGAATATTCTGAGAATGCTTCCGTTTGCCGTTTATATGAAGTTCCTTCCTATACTACCGTAGGCCTCAAAGCAGTCCAAATCTCCATTTGCAGATTCTACAAAAAGAGTGATTCCAATCTGCTCTATCAATAGGATTGTCCAACTCCATGTGTTGAATGCCATCCTCAATGTCGTTTCTGAGAATGCTTCTATCTAGTTTTTATGTGAAGATATTTCCTTTTCCACCACAGGCCTCAAAGCCCTCCAAACGTCCACTTTCAGATTCTCGAAAAAGAGTGTTTCATAGCTGCTCTTTCAAAAGGAAAGTTCAACTCTGGGAGTTGAATACAAACATCACAAAGTAGTTTCCGAGAATGCTTCTGTTTAGTTTTTATGTGAAGATGATCCCGTTTCCAGTGAAATCTTCAAAGAGGTCCACATATCGCCTTGCAGATTCCAAAGAAAGAGGGTTTCAAAACTGCTCCATCAGAAGGATTGTTCAACTCTGTGAGTTGAATGCAGTCATCGCAGAAAACTTTCTGAGAATGCTTCTGTCTAGGTTTGATGTGAAGATATAGACGTTTCAAACGAAGGCTACAAAGTGGTCAAAATATACACTTGCAGATTCTACTACAAGGGTGTTGCAAACCTGAACTATCAAAGGAAGGTTCAACTCTGTGAGTTGAATACAAACATCACAAAGAATGTTCTGAGTTTGCTTCCGTCCAGTTATGGGAAGTTGATCCCGTTTCCAACGAAATCCTCAGAGAGGTCCAAATATCCCCTTGCAGATTCTACAAAACGTGTGTTGGGAAACTGCTCCATCATAACGAATGTTCAGCTCCCTGAGTTAAACTCCATCGTCACAAAGAATTTTCTGAGAGTGCTACCGTCTGGTTTTTATATGAAGTTCTTTCCTTCACTACCACAGGCCTCAAAGCGGTCCAAATCTCCACTTGCAGATTCTACAAAAAGAGTGTTTGCAAACTGCTCTATCAAAAGGAATGTTCAACTCTGGGAGTTGAATGCAATCATCACAGAGCAGTTTCTGAGAATGCTTCTATGTCGTTTTTAGGAGAAGATATTTCCTTTTCCAACACAGTCCTCCAAGCCCGCTAAATAGCCACTTGCACATTGTAGAAAAAGTGTGTCAAAGCTGCGCTATCAAAGGGAAAGTTCAACTCTGTGAGGTGAATGCAAACATCCCAAAGAAGTTTCTGAGAATGCTTCCGTTTAGCTTTTAGGTGAAGATTATCCCGTTTCCAACGAAACCTTCAAAGAGGTCCAAATATCCCCTTGCGGATCCCACAGAAAGAGTGTTTCGAAACTGCTGTTTCAAAAGGAATCTTCAACTCTGTGAGTTGAATGCAATCATCACAAAGAAGTTTCTGACAATGCTTCTCTCTCGTCTTTCTGTGAAGATAAAGGAAAAGGCTTTCAGGCCTTTGCCACCACAGGCCTGAAAGCGCTCCAAATGTCCACTTGCAGATTCTGCGAAAAGAATATTTCAAAACTGCTCTATGAAAAGCAATGTTAAACTCTGCGGCTCGAACACAAACATCACAAAGCGGTTTCTGAGAATGCTTCAGTTTAGTTTTTCTGTGGAAGTATTCCCGTTTCCAAAGAAATCTTCAAAGAGGTCCACGTATCCACTTACAGATTCTACAAAAAGACAGTTTCAAAACTGCTCCATCAAAAGGAGGGTTCAACTGTGTGACTTGAATGCAATCATCACTCAGAAGTTTCTGAGAATGCTTCTCTTTAGTTTTTACGTGAACATATACGCGTTTCGAACGAAGGCCACCCAGTGGTCCAAATATCCACTTGCAGATTATACAGAAAGAGTGTTTCGAACCTGAACTCTCAAAGGCAGGTTCATCTCTGCGAGTTAAATGCATTCATCATGAAGAACTTTCTCAGAGTGTTTGTGTTTAGTTATGGGAAATTATTCCCGTTTCCAACGAAATCCTCAGAGAGCTCCAAATATCCACCTGCAGATTCTACCAAAAGTGTATTTGGAAACTGCTCCATCAAAAGGCATGTTCAGCTCTGTGAGTGAAACTCCATCATCACAAAGAATATTCTGAGAATGCTTCCGTTTGCCTTTTATATGAAGTTCCTTCCTATACTACCGTAGGCCTCAAAGCAGTCCAAATCTCCATTTGCAGATTCTATAAAAAGAGTGATTCCAATCTGCTCTATCAATAGGATTGTTCAACTCCATGAGTTGAATGCCATCCTCACAAAGTAGTTTCTGAGAATGCTTCTATCTGGTTTTTGTGTGAAGATATTTCCTTTTCCACCACAGGCCTCAAAGCCCTCCAAACGTCCACTTGCAGATTCTCGAAAAAGAGTGTTTCATAGCTGCTCTTTCAAAAGGAAAGTTCAACTCTGGGAGTTGAATACAAACATCACAAAATAGTTTCCGAGAATGCTTCTGTTTAGTTTTTATGTGAAGATGATCCCGTTTCCAGTGAAATCTTCAAAGAGGTCCACATATCCCCTTGCAGATTCCAAAGAAAGAGGGTTTCAAAACTGCTCCATCAAAAGGATTGTTCAACTCTGTGAGTTGAATGCAGTCATCGCAGAAAACTTTCTGAGAATGCTTCTGTCTAGGTTTGATGTGAAGATATAGACGTTTCAAACGAAAGCTACAAAGTGGTCAAAATATACACTTGCAGATTCTACTACAAGGGTGTTGCAAACCTGAACTATCAAAGGAAGGTTCAACTCTGTGAGTTGAATACAAACATCACAAAGAATGTTCTGAGTTTGCTTCCGTTCAGTTATGGGAAGTTGATCCCGTTTCCAACGAAATCCTCAGAGAGGTCCAAATATCCCCTCGCAGATTCTACAAAACGTGTGTTTGGAAACTGCTCCATCATAACGAATGTTCAGCTCCCTGAGTTAAACTCCATCGTCACAAAGAATTTTCTGATAGTGCTACCGTCTGGTTTTTATATGAAGTTCTTTCCTTCACTACCACAGGCCTCAAAGCGGTCCAAATCTCCACTTGCAGATTCTACAAAAAGAGTGTTTGCAAACTGCTCTATCAAAAGGAATGTTCAACTCTGGGAGTTGAATGCAATCATCACAGAGCAGTTTCTGAGAATGCTTCTATGTCGTTTTTAGGAGAAGATATTTCCTTTTCCAACACAGTCCTCCAAGCCCGCTAAATAGCCACTTGCACATTGTAGAAAAAGTGTGTCGAAGCTGCGCTATCAAAGGGAAAGTTCAACTCTGTGAGGTGAATGCAAACATCCCAAAGAAGTTTCTGAGAATGCTTCCGTTTAGCTTTTAGGTGAAGATTATCCCGTTTCCAACGAAACCTTCAAAGAGGTCCAAATATCCCCTTGCGGATCCCACAGAAAGAGTGTTTCGAAACTGCTGTTTCAAAAGGAATCTTCAACTCTGTGAGTTGAATGCAATCATCACAAAGAAGTTTCTGACAATGCTTCTCTCTCGTCTTTCTGTGAAGATAAAGGAAAAGGCTTTCAGGCCTTTTCCACCACAGGCCTGAAAGCGCTCCAAATGTCCACTTGCAGATTCTGCCAAAAGAATATTTCAAAACTGCTCTATGAAAAGCAATGTTAAACTCTGTGGCTCGAACACAAACATCACAAAGCGGTTTCTGAGAATGCTTCAGTTTAGTTTTTCTTTGGAAATATTCCCGTTTCCAAAGAAATCTTCAAAGAGGTCCACGTATCCACTTACAGATTCTACAAAAAGACAGTTTCAAAACTGCTCCATCAAAAGGAGGGTTCAACTGTGTGACTTGAATGCAATCATCACTCAGAAGTTTCTGAGAATGATTCTCTTTAGTTTTTACGTGAACATATACCCGTTTCGAACGAAGGCCAGCCAGTGGTCCAAATATCCACTTGCAGATTCTACAGAAAGAGTGTTTCGAACCTGAACTCTCAAAGGCAGGTTCATCTCTGCGAGTTAAATGCATTCATCATGAAGAACTTTCTCAGAGTGTTTGTGTTTAGTTATGGGAAATTATTCCCGTTTCCAACGAAATCCTCAGAGAGCTCCAAATATCCACCTGCAGATTCTACCAAAAGTGTTTTTGGAAACTGCTCCATCAAAAGGCATGTTCAGCTCTGTGAGTGAAACTCCATCATCACAAAGAATATTCTGAGAATGCTTCCGTTTGCCTTTTATATGAAGTTCCTTCCTATACGACCGTAGGCCTCAAAGCAGTCCAAATCTCCATTTGCAGATTCTACAAAAAGAGTGATTCCAATCTGCTCTATCAATAGGATTGTTCAACTCCATGAGTTGAATGCCATCCTCACAAAGTCGTTTCTGAGAATGCTTCTATCTAGTTTTTATGTGAAGATATTTCCTTTTCCACCACAGGCCTCAAAGCCCTCCAAACGTCCACTTGCAGATTCTCGAAAAAGAGTGTTTCATAGCTGCTCTTTCAAAAGGAAAGTTCAACTCTGGGAGTTGAATACAAACATCACAAAGTAGTTTCCGAGAATGCTTCTGTTTAGTTTTTATGTGAAGATGATCCCGTTTCCAGTGAAATCTTCAAAGAGGTCCACATATCCCCCTGCAGATTGCAAAGAAAGAGGGTTTCAAAACTGCTCCATCAAAAGGATTGTTCAACTCTGTGAGTTGAATGCAGTCATCGCAGAAAACTTTCTGAGAATGCTTCTGTCTAGGTTTGATGTGAAGATATAGACGTTTCAAATGAAGGCTACAAAGTGGTCAAAATATACACTTGCAGATTCTACTACAAGGGTGTTGCAAACCTGAACTATCAAAGGAAGGTTCAACTCTGTGAGTTGAATACAAACATCACAAAGAATGTTCTGAGTTTGCTTCCGTTCAGTTATGGGAAGTTGATCCCGTTTCCAACGAAATCCTCAGAGAGGTCCAAATATCCCCTTGCAGATTCTACAAAACGTGTGTTTGGAAACTGCTCCATCATAACGAATGTTCAGCTCCCTGAGTTAAACTCCATCGTCACAAAGAATTTTCTGAGAGTGCTACCGTCTGGTTTTTATATGAAGCTCTTTCCTTCACTACCACAGACCTCAAAGCGGTCCAAATCTCCACTTGCAGATTCTACAAAAAGAGTGTTTGCAAACTGCTCTATCAAAAGGAATGTTCAACTCTGGGAGTTGAATGCAATCATCACAGAGCAGTTTCTGAGAATGCTTCTATGTCGTTTTTAGGAGAAGATATTTCCTTTTCCAACACAGTCCTCCAAGCCCGCTAAATAGCCACTTGCACATTGTAGAAAAAGTGTGTCAAAGCTGCGCTATCAAAGGGAAAGTTCAACTCTGTGAGGTGAATGCAAACATCCCAAAGAAGTTTCTGAGAATGCTTCCATTTAGCTTTTAGGTGAAGATTATCCCGTTTCCAACGAAACCTTCAAAGAGGTCCAAATATCCCCTTGCGGATCCCACAGAAAGAGTGTTTCGAAACTGCTGTTTCAAAAGGAATCTTCAACTCTGTGAGTTGAATGCAATCATCACAAAGAAGTTTCTGACAATGCTTCTCTCTCGTCTTTCTGTGAAGATAAAGGAAAAGGCTTTCAGGCCTTTTCCACCACAGGCCTGAAAGCGCTCCAAATGTCCACTTGCAGATTCTGCCAAAAGAATATTTCAAAACTGCTCTATGAAAAGCAATGTTAAACTCTGCGGCTCGAACACCAACATCACAAAGCAGTTTCTGAGAATGCTTCAGTTTAGTTTTTCTGTGGAAATATTCCCGTTTCCAAAGAAATCTTCAAAGAGGTCCACGTATCCACTTACAGATTCTACAAAAAGACAGTTTCAAAACTGCTCAATCAAAAGGAGGGTTCAACTGTGTGACTTGAATGCAATCATCACTCAGAAGTTTCTGAGAATGCTTCTCTTTAGTTTTTACGTGAACATATACCCGTTTCGAACGAAGGCCACCCAGTGGTCCAAATGTCCACTTGCAGATTCTACAGAAAGAGTGTTTCGAACCTGAACTCTCAAAGGCAGGTTCATCTCTGCGAGTTAAATGCATTCATCATGAAGAACTTTCTCAGCGTGTTTGTGTTTAGTTATGGGAAATTATTCCCGTTTCCAACGAAATCCTCAGAGAGCTCCAAATATCCACCTGCAGATTCTACCAAAAGTGTATTTGGAAACTGCTCCATCAAAAGGCATGTTCAGCTCTGTGAGTGAAACTCCATCATCACAAAGAATATTCTGAGAATGCTTCCGTTTGCCTTTTATCTGAAGTTCCTTCCTATACGACCGTAGGCCTCAAAGCAGTCCAAATCTCCATTTGCAGATTCCACAAAAAGAGTGATTCCAATCTGCTCTATCAATAGGATTGTTCAACTCCATGAGTTGAATGCCATCCTCACAAAGTCGTTTCTGAGAATGCTTCTATCTAGTTTTTACGTGAAGATATTTCCTTTTCCAGCACAGGCCTCAAAGCCCTCCAAACGTCCACTTGCAGATTCTCGAAAAAGAGTGTTTCATAGCTGCTCTTTCAAAAGGAAAGTTCAACTCTGGGAGTTGAATACAAACATCACAAAGTAGTTTCCGAGAATGCTTCTGTTTAGTTTTTATGTGAAGATGATCCCGTTTCCAGTGAAATCTTCAAAGAGGTCCACATATCCCCTTGCAGATTCCAAAGAAAGAGGGTTTCAAAACTGCTCCATCAGAAGGATTGTTCAACTCTGTGAGTTGAATGCAGTCATCGCAGAAAACTTTCTGAGAATGCTTCTGTCTAGGTTTGATGTGAAGATATAGACGTTTCAAACGAAGGCTACAAAGTGGTCAAAATATACACTTGCAGATTCTACTACAAGGGTGTTGCAAACCTCAACTATCAAAGGAAGGTTCAACTCTGTGAGACGAATGCAAACATCACAAAGAATGTTCTGAGTTTGCTTCCGTTCAGTTATGGGAAGTTGATCCCGTTTCCAACGAAATCCTCAGAGAGGTCCAAATATCCCCTTGCAGATTCTACAAAACGTGTGTTTGGAAACTGCTCCATCATAACGAATGTTCAGCTCTCTGAGTTAAACTCCATCGTCACAAAGAATTTTCTGAGAGTGCTACCGTCTACTTTTTATATGAAGTTCTTTGCTTTACTACCACAGGCCTCAAAGCGGTCCAAATCTCCACTTGCAGATTCTACAAAAAGAGTGTTTGCAAACTGCTCTATCAAAAGGAATGTTCAACTCTGGGAGTTGAATGCAATCATCACAGAGCAGTTTCTGAGAATGCTTCTATGTCGTTTTTAGGAGAAGATATTTCCTTTTCCAACACAGTCCTCCAAGCCCGCTAAATATCCACTTGCACATTGTAGAAAAAGTGTGTCGAAGCTGCGCTATCAAAGGGAAAGTTCAACTCTGTGAGGTGAATGCAAACATCCCAAAGAAGTTTCTGAGAATGCTTCCGTTTAGCTTTAAGTGAAGATTATCCCGTTTCCAACGAAATCTTCAAAGAGGTCCAAATATCCCCTTGCGGATCCCACAGAAAGAGTGTTTCGAAACTGCTGTTTCAAAAGGAATCTTCAACTCTGTGAGTTGAATGCAATCATCACAAAGAAGTTTCTGACAATGCTTCTCTCTCGTCTTTCTGTGAAGATAAAGGAAAAGGCTTTCAGGCCATTTCCACCACAGGCCTGAAAGCGCTCCAAATGTCCACTTGCAGATTCTGCCAAAAGAATATTTCAAAACTGCTCTATGAAAAGCAATGTTAAACTCTGCGGCTCGAACACAAACATCACAAAGCAGTTTCTGAGAATGCTTCAGTTTAGTTTTTCTGTGGAAATATTCCCGTTTCCAAAGAAATCTTCAAAGAGGTCCACGCATCCACTTACAGATTCTACAAAAAGACAGTTTCAAAACTGCTCAATCAAAAGGAGGGTTCAACTGTGTGACTTGAATGCATTCATCACTCAGAAGTTTCTGAGAACGCTTCTCTTTAGTTTTTACGTGAACATATACCCGTTTCGAACGAAGGCCAGCCAGTGGTCCAAATATCCACTTGCAGATTCTACAGAAAGAGTGTTTTGAACCTGAACTCTCAAAGGCAGGTTCATCTCTGCGAGTTAAATGCATTCATCATGAAGAACTTTCTCAGCGTGTTTGTGTTTAGTTATGGGAAATTATTCCCGTTTCCAACGAAATCCTCAGAGAGCTCCAAATATCCACCTGCAGATTCTACCAAAAGTGTATTTGGAAACTGCTCCATGAAAAGGCATGTTCAGCTCTGTGAGTGAAACTCCGTCATCACAAAGAATATTCTGAGAATGCTTCCGTTTGCCTTTTATATGAAGTTCCTTCCTATACTACCGTAGGCCTCAAAGCAGTCCAAATCTCCATTTGCAGATTCTACAAAAAGAGTGATTCCAATCTGCTCTATCAATAGGATTGTTCAACTCCATGAGTTGAATGCCATCCTCACAAAGTAGTTTCTGAGAATGCTTCTATGTAGTTTTTATGTGAAGATATTTCCTTTTCCACCACAGGCCTCAAAGCCCTCCAAACGTCCACTTGCAGATTCTCGAAAAAGAGTGTTTCATAGCTGCTCTTTCAAAAGGAAAGTTCAACTCTGGGAGTTGAATACAAACATCACAAAGTAGTTTCCGAGAATGCTTCTGTTTAGTTCTTATGTGAAGATGATCCCGTTTCCAGTGAAATCTTCAAAGAGGTCCACATATCCCCTTGCAGATTCCAAAGAAAGAGGGTTTCAAAACTGCTCCATCAAAAGGATTGTTCAACTCTGTGAGTTGAATGCAGTCATCGCAGAAAACTTTCTGAGGATGCTTCTGTCTAGGTTTGATGTGAAGATATAGACGTTTCAAACGAAGGCTACAATGTGGTCAAAATATACACTTGCAGATTCTACTACAAGGGTGTTGCAAACCTCAACTATCAAAGGAAGGTTCAACTCTGTGAGATGAATGCAAACATCACAAAGAATGTTCTGAGTTTGCTTCCGTTTAGTTATGGGAAATTGATACCGTTTCCAACGAAATCCTCAGAGAGGTCCAAATATCCCCTTGCAGATTCTACAAAACGTGTGTTTGGAAACTGCTCCATCATAACGAATGTTCAGCTCTCTGAGTTAAACTCCATCGTCACAAAGAATTTTCTGAGAGTGCTACCGTCTACTTTTTATATGAAGTTCTTTCCTTTACTACCACAGGCCTCAAAGCGGTCCAAATCTCCACTTGCAGATTCTACAAAAAGAGTGTTTGCAAATTGCTCTATCAAAAGGAATGTTCAACTCTGGGAGTTGAATGCAATCATCACAGAGCAGTTTCTGAGAATGCTTCTATGTCGTTTTTAGGAGAAGATATTTCCTTTTCCAACACAGTCCTCCAAGCCCGCTAAATATCCACTTGCACATTGTAGAAAAAGTGTGTCGAAGCTGCGCTATCAAAGGGAAAGTTCAACTCTGTGAGGTGAATGCAAACATCCCAAAGAAGTTTCTGAGAATGCTTCCGTTTAGCTTTAAGTGAAGATTATCCCGTTTCCAACGAAATCTTCAAAGAGGTCCAAATATCCCCTTGCGGATCCCACAGAAAGAGTGTTTCGAAACTGCTGTTTCAAAAGGAATCTTCAACTCTGTGAGTTGAATGCAATCATCACAAAGAAGTTTCTGACAATGCTTCTCTCTCGTCTTTCTGTGAAGATAAAGGAAAAGGCTTTCAGGCCATTTGCACCACAGGCCTGAAAGCGCTCCAAATGTCCACTTGCAGATTCTGCCAAAAGAATATTTCAAAACTGCTCTATGAAAAGCAATGTTAAACTCTGCGGCTCGAACACAAACATCACAAAGCAGTTTCTGAGAATGCTTCAGTTTAGTTTTTCTGTGGAAATATTCCCGTTTCCAAAGAAATCTTCAAAGAGGTCCACGCATCCACTTACAGATTCTACAAAAAGACAGTTTCAAAACTGCTCAATCAAAAGGAGGGTTCAACTGTGTGACTTGAATGCATTCATCACTCAGAAGTTTCTGAGAACGCTTCTCTTTAGTTTTTACGTGAACATATACCCGTTTCGAACGAAGGCCAGCCAGTGGTCCAAATATCCACTTGCAGATTCTACAGAAAGAGTGTTTTGAACCTGAACTCTCAAAGGCAGGTTCATCTCTGCGAGTTAAATGCATTCATCATGAAGAACTTTCTCAGCGTGTTTGTGTTTAGTTATGGGAAATTATTCCCGTTTCCAACGAAATCCTCAGAGAGCTCCAAATATCCACCTGCAGATTCTACCAAAAGTGTATTTGGAAACTGCTCCATGAAAAGGCATGTTCAGCTCTGTGAGTGAAACTCCGTCATCACAAAGAATATTCTGAGAATGCTTCCGTTTGCCTTTTATCTGAAGTTCCTTCCTATACGACCGTAGGCCTCAAAGCAGTCCAAATCTCCATTTGCAGATTCTACAAAAAGAGTGATTCCAATCTGCTCTATCAATAGGATTGTTCAACTCCATGAGTTGAATGCCATCCTCACAAAGTCGTTTCTGAGAATGCTTTCTATCTAGTTTTTATGTGAAGATATTTCCTTTTCCACCACAGGCCTCAAAGCCCTCCAAACGTCCACTTGCAGATTCTCGAAAAAGAGTGTTTCATAGCTGCTCTTTCAAAAGGAAAGTTCAACTCTGGCAGTTGAATACAAACATCACAAAGTAGTTTCCGAGAATGCTTCTGTTTAGTTTTTATGTGAAGATGATCCCGTTTCCAGTGAAATCTTCAAAGAGGTCCACATATCCCCTTGCAGATTCCAAAGAAAGAGGGTTTCAAAACTGCTCCATCAGAAGGATTGTTCAACTCTGTGAGTTGAATGCAGTCATCGCAGAAAACTTTCTGAGAATGCTTCTTTCTAGGTTTGATGTGAAGATATAGACGTTTCAAACGAAGGCTACAAAGTGGTCAAAATATACACTTGCAGATTCTACTACAAGGGTGTTGCAAACCTGAACTATCAAAGGAAGGTTCAACTCTGTGAGTTGAATACAAACATCACAAAGAATGTTCTGAGTTTGCTTCCGTTCAGTTATGGGAAGTTGATCCCGTTTCCAACGAAATCCTCAGAGAGGTCCAAATATCCCCTTGCAGATTCTACAAAACGTGTGTTTGGAAACTGCTCCATCATAACGAATGTTCAGCTCCCTGAGTTAAACTCCATCGTCACAAAGAATTTTCTGAGAGTGCTACCGTCTGGTTTTTATATGAAGCTCTTTCCTTCACTACCACAGGCCTCAAAGCGGTCCAAATCTCCACTTCCAGATTCTACAAAAAGAGTGTTTGCAAACTGCTCTATCAAAAAGAATGTTCAACTCTGGGAGTTGAATGCAATCATCACAGAGCAGTTTCTGAGAATGCTTCTATGTCGTTTTTAGGAGAAGATATTTCCTTTTCCAACACAGTCCTCCAAGCCCGCTAAATAGCCACTTGCACATTGTAGAAAAAGTGTGTCAAAGCTGCGCTATCAAAGGGAAAGTTCAACTCTGTGAGGTGAATGCAAACATCCCAAAGAAGTTTCTGAGAATGCTTCCGTTTAGCTTTTAGGTGAAGATTATCCCGTTTCCAACGAAACCTTCAAAGAGGTCCAAATATCCCCTTGCGGATCCCACAGAAAGAGTGTTTCGAAACTGCTGTTTGAAAAGGAATCTTCAACTCTGTGAGTTGAATGCAATCATCACAAAGAAGTTTCTGACAATGCTTCTCTCTCGTCTTTCTGTGAAGATAAAGGAAAAGGCTTTCAGGCCTTTTCCACCACAGGCCTGAAAGCGCTCCAAATGTCCACTTGCAGATTCTGCCAAAAGAATATTTCAAAACTGCTCTATGAAAAGCAATGTTAAACTCTGTCGCTCGAACACAAACATCACAAAGCAGTTTCTGAGAATGCTTCAGTTTAGTTTTTCTGTGGAAATATTCCCGTTTCCAAAGAAATCTTCAAAGAGGTCCACTGTATCCACTTACAGATTCTACAAAAAGACAGTTTCAAAACTGCTCCATCAAAAGGAGGGTTCAACTGTGTGACTTGAATGCAATCATCACTCAGAAGTTTCTGAGAATGCTTCTCTTTAGTTTTTACGTGAACATATACCCGTTTCGAACGAAGGCCACCCAGTGGTCCAAATATCCACTTGCAGATTCTACAGAAAGAGTGTTTCGAACCTGAACTCTCAAAGGCAGGTTCATCTCTGCGAGTTAAATGCATTCATCATGAAGAACTTTCTCAGAGTGTTTGTGTTTAGTTATGGGAAATTATTCCCGTTTCCAACGAAATCCTCAGAGAGCTCCAAATATCCACCTGCAGATTCTACCAAAAGTGTATTTGGAAACTGCTCCATCAAAAGGCATGTTCAGCTCTGTGAGTGAAACTCCATCATCACAAAGAATATTCTGAGAATGCTTCCGTTTGCCTTTTATATGAAGTTCCTTCCTATACGACCGTAGGCCTCAAAGCAGTCCAAATCTCCATTTGCAGATTCTACAAAAAGAGTGATTCCAATCTGCTCTATCAATAGGATTGTTCAACTCCATGAGTTGAATGCCATCCTCACAAAGTCGTTTCTGAGAATGCTTCTATCTAGTTTTTATGTGAAGATATTTCCTTTTCCACCACAGGCCTCAAAGCCTTCCAAACGTCCACTTGCAGATTCTCGAAAAAGAGTGTTTCATAGCTGCTCTTTCAAAAGGAAAGTTCAACTCTGGGAGTTGAATACAAACATCACAAAGTAGTTTCCGAGAATGCTTCTGTTTAGTTTTTATGTGAAGATGATCCCGTTTCCAGTGAAATCTTCAAAGAGGTCCACATATCCCCTTGCAGATTCCAAAGAAAGAGGGTTTCAAAACTGCTCCATCAGAAGGATTGTTCAACTCTGTGAGTTGAATGCAGTCATCGCAGAAAACTTTCTGAGAATGCTTCTGTCTAGGTTTGATGTGAAGATATAGACGTTTCAAACGAAGGCTACAAAGTGGTCAAAATATACACTTGCAGATTCTACTACAAGGGTGTTGCAAACCTGAACTATCAAAGGAAGGTTCAACTCTGTGAGTTGAATACAAACATCACAAAGAATGTTCTGAGTTTGCTTCCGTTCAGTTATGGGAAGTTGATCCCGTTTCCAACGAAATCCTCAGAGAGGTCCAAATATCCCCTTGCAGATTCTACAAAACGTGTGTTTGGAAACTGCTCCATCATAACGAATGTTCAGCTCCCTGAGTTAAACTCCATCGTCACAAAGAATTTTCTGAGAGTGCTACCGTCTGGTTTTTATATGAAGTTCTTTCCTTTACTACCACAGGCCTCAAAGCGGTCCAAATCTCCACTGGCAGATTCTACAAAAAGAGTGTTTGCAAACTGCTCTATCAAAAGGAATGTTCAACTCTGGGAGTTGAATGCAATCATCACAGAGCAGTTTCTGAGAATGCTTCTATGTCGTTTTTAGGAGAAGATATTTCCTTTTCCAACACAGTCCTCCAAGCCCGCTAAATATCCACTTGCACATTGTAGAAAAAGGGTGTAGAAGCTGCGCTATCAAAGGGAAAGTTCAAGTCTGTGAGGTGAATGCAAACATCCCAAAGAAGTTTCTGAGAATACTTCCGTTTAGCTTTTAGGTGAAGATTATCCCGTTTCCAACGAAATCTTCAAAGAGGTCCAAATATCCCCTTGCGGATCCCACAGAAAGAGTGTTTCGAAACTGCTGTTTCAAAAGGAATCTTCAACTCTGTGAGTTGAATGCAATCATCACAAAGAAGTTTCTGACAATGCTTCTCTCTCGTCTTTCTGTGAAGATAAAGGAAAAGGCTTTCAGGCCTTTTCAACCACAGGCCTGAAAGCGCTCCAAATGTCCACTTGCAGATTCTGCCAAAAGAATATTTCAAAACTGCTCTATGAAAAGCAATGTTAAACTCTGTGGCTCGAACACAAACATCACATAGCAGTTTCTGAGAATGCTTCAGTTTAGTTTTTCTGTGGAAATATTCCCGTTTCCAAAGAAATCTTCAAAGAGGTCCACGTATCCACTTACAGATTCTACAAAAAGACAGTTTCAAAACTGCTCCATCAAAAGGAGGGTTCAACTGTGTGACTTGAATGCAATCATCACTCAGAAGTTTCTGAGAATGCTTCTCTTTAGTTTTTACGTGAACATATACCCGTTTCGAACGAAGGCCACCCAGTGGTCCAAATATCCGCTTGCAGATTCTACAGAAAGAGTGTTTCGAACCTGAACTCTCAAAGGAAGGTTCATCTCTGCGAGTTAAATGCATTCATCATGAAGAACTTTCTCAGAGTGTTTGTGTTTAGTTATGGGAAATTATTCCCGTTTCCAAAGAAATCCTCAGAGAGCTCCAAATATCCACCTGCAGATTCTACCAAAAGTGTATTTGGAAACTGCTCCATCAAAAGGCATGTTCAGCTCTGTGAGTGAAACTCCATCATCACAAAGAATATTCTGAGAATGCTTCCGTTTGCCTTTTATATGAAGTTCCTTCCTGTACTACCGTAGGCCTCAAAGCAGTCCAAATCTCCATTTGCAGATTCTACAAAAAGAGTGATTCCAATCTGCTCTATCAATAGGATTGTTCAACTCCATGAGTTGAATGCCATCCTCACAAAGTAGTTTCTGAGAATGCTTCTATCTGGTTTTTGTGTGAAGATATTTCCTTTTCCACCACAGGCCTCAAAGCCCTCCAAACGTCCACTTGCAGATTCTCGAAAAAGAGTGTTTCATAGCTGCTCTTTCAAAAGGAAAGTTCAACTCTGGGAGTTGAATACAAACATCACAAAATAGTTTCCGAGAATGCTTCTGTTTAGTTTTTATGTGAAGATGATCCCGTTTCCAGTGAAATCTTCAAAGAGGTCCACATATCCCCTTGCAGATTCCAAAGAAAGAGGGTTTCAAAACTGCTCCATCAGAAGGATTGTTCAACTCTGTGAGTTGAATGCAGTCATCGCAGAAAACTTTCTGAGAATGCTTCTGTCTAGGTTTGATGTGAAGATATAGACGTTTCAAACGAAGGCTACAAAGTGGTCAAAATATACACTTGCAGATTCTACTACAAGGGTGTTGCAAACCTGAACTATCAAAGGAAGGTTCAACTCTGTGAGTTGAATACAAACGTCACAAAGAATGTTCTGAGTTTGCTTCCGTTCAGTTATGGGAAGTTGATCCCGTTTCCAACGAAATCCTCAGAGAGGTCCAAATATCCCCTCGCAGATTCTACAAAACGTGTGTTTGGAAACTGCTCCATCATAACGAATGTTCAGCTCCCTGAGTTAAACTCCATCGTCACAAAGAATTTTCTGAGAGTGCTACCGTCTGGTTTTTATATGAAGTTCTTTCCTTCACTACCACAGGCCTCAAAGCGGTCCAAATCTCCACTTGCAGATTCTACAAAAAGAGTGTTTGCAAACTGCTCTATCAAAAGGAATGTTCAACTCTGGGAGTTGAATGCAATCATCACAGAGCAGTTTCTGAGAATGCTTCTATGTCGTTTTTAGGAGAAGATATTTCCTTTTCCAACACAGTCCTCCAAGCCCGCTAAATAGCCACTTGCACATTGTAGAAAAAGTGTGTCAAAGCTGCGCTATCAAAGGGAAAGTTCAACTCTGTGAGGTGAATGCAAACATCCCAAAGAAGTTTCTGAGAATGCTTCCGTTTAGCTTTTAGGTGAAGATTATCCCGTTTCCAACGAAACCTTCAAAGAGGTCCAAATATCCCCTTGCGGATCCCACAGAAAGAGTGTTTCGAAACTGCTGTTTCAAAAGGAATCTTCAACTCTGTGAGTTGAATGCAATCATCACAAAGAAGTTTCTGACAATGCTTCTCTCTCGTCTTTCTGTGAAGGTAAAGGAAAAGGCTTTCAGGCCTTTTCCACCACAGGCCTGAAAGCGCTCCAAATGTCCACTTGCAGATTCTGCCAAAAGAATATTTCAAAACTGCTCTATGAAAAGCAATGTTAAACTCTGTGGCTCGAACACAAACATCACAAAGCGGTTTCTGAGAATGCTTCAGTTTACTTTTTCTGTGGAAGTATTCCCGTTTCCAAAGAAATCTTCAAAGAGGTCCACGCATCCACTTACAGATTCTACAAAAAGACAGTTTCAAAACTGCTCAATCAAAAGGAGGGTTCAACTGTGAGACTTGAATGCAATCATCACTCAGAAGTTTCTGAGAACGCTTCTCTTTAGTTTTTACGTGAACATATACCCGTTTCGAACGAAGGCCACCCTGTGGTCCAAATATCCACTTGCAGATTCTACAGAAAGAGTGTTTCGAACCTGAACTCTCAAAGGCAGGTTCATCTCTGCGAGTTAAATGCATTCATCATGAAGAACTTTCTCAGCGTGTTTGTGTTTAGTTATGGGAAATTATTCCCGTTTCCAACGAAATCCTCAGAGAGGTCCAAATATCCACCTGCAGATTCTACCAATAGTTTATTTGGAAACTGCTCCATCAAAAGGCATGTTCAGCTCTGTGAGTGAAACTCCATCATCACAAAGAATATTCTGAGAATGCTTCCGTTTGCCTTTTATATGAAGTTCCTTCCTATACTACCGTAGGCCTCAAAGCAGTCCAAATCTCCATTTGCAGATTCTACAAAAAGAGTGATTCCAATCTGCTCTATCAATAGGATTGTTCAACTCCATGAGTTGAATGCCATCCTCACAAAGCCTTTTCTGAGAATGCTTCTATCTAGTTTTCATGTGAAGATATTTCCTTTTCCACCACAGGCCTCAAAGCCCTCCAAACGTCCACTTGCAGATTCTCGAAAAAGTGTGTTTCATAGCTGCTCTTTCAAAAGGAAAGTTCAACTCTGGGAGTTGAATACAAACATCACAAAGTAGTTTCCGAGAATGCTTCTGTTTAGTTCTTATGTGAAGATGATCCCGTTTCCAGTGAAATCTTCAAAGAGGTCCACATATCCCCTTGCAGATTCCAAAGAAAGAGGGTTTCAAAACTGCTCCATCAAAAGGAGTGTTCAACTCTGTGAGTTGAATGCAGTCATCGCAGAAAACTTTCTGAGAATGCTTCTGTCTAGGTTTGATGTGAAGATATAGACGTTTCAAACGAAGGCTACTAAGTGGTCAAAATATACACTTGCAGATTCTACTACAAGGGTGATGCAAACCTGAACTATCAAAGGAAGGTTCAACTCTGTGAGTTGAATACAAACATCACAAAGAATGTTCTGAGTTTGCTTCCGTTTAGTTATGGGAAGTTGATCCCGTTTCCAACGAAATCCTCAGAGAGGTCCAAATATCCCCTTGCAGATTCTACAAAACGTGTGTTTGGAAACTGCTCCATCATAACGAATGTTCAGCTCTCTGAGGTTAAACTCCATCGTCACAAAGAATTTTCTGAGAGTGCTACCGTCTAGTTTTTATAGGAAGTTCTTTCCTTTACTACCACAGGCCTCAAAGCGGTCCAAATCTCCACTTGCAGATTCTACAAAAAGAGTGTCTGCAAACTGCTCTATCAAAAGGAATGTTCAACTCTGGGAGTTGAATGCAATCATCACAGAGCAGTTTCTTAGAATGCTTCTATGTGGTTTTTAGGAGAAGATATTTCCTTTTCCAACACAGTCCTCCAAGCCCGCTAAATATCCACTTGCACATTGGAGAAAAAGTGTGTCGAAGCTGCGCTATCAAAGGGAAAGTTCAACTCTGTGAGGTGAATGCAAACATCCCAAAGAAGTTTCTGAGAATGCTTCCGTTTAGCTTTTAGGTGAAGATTATCCCGTTTCCAACGAAATCTTCAAAGAGGTCCAAATATCCCCTTGCGGATCCCACAGAAAGAGTGTTTCGAAACTGCTGTTTCAAAAGGAATCTTCAACTCTGTGGGTTGAATGCAATCATCACAAAGAAGTTTCTGACAATGCTTCTCTCTCGTCTTTCTGTGAAGATAAAGGAAAAGGCTTTCAGGCCTTTTCCACCACAGGCCTGAAAGCGCTCCAAATGTCCACTTGCAGATTCTGCCAAAAGAATATTTCAAAACTGCTCTATGAAAAGCAATGTTAAACTCTGCGGCTCGAACACAAACATCACAAAGCAGTTTCTGAGAATGCTTCAGTTTAGTTTTTCTGTGGAAATATTCCCATTTCCAAAGAAATCTTCAAAGAGGTCCACGTATCCACTTACAGATTCTACAAAAAGACAGTTTCAAAACTGCTCAATCAAAAGGAGGGTTCAACCGTGTGACTTGAATGCAATCATCACTCAGAAGTTTCTGAGAATGCTTCTCTTTAGTTTTTACGTGAACATATACCCGTTTCGAACGAAGGCCACCCAGTGGTCCAAATATCCACTTGCAGATTCTACAGAAAGAGTGTTTCGAACCTGAACTCTCAAAGGCAGGTTCATCTCTGCGAGTTCAATGCATTCATCATGAAGAACTTTCTCAGAGTGTTTGTGTTTAGGTATGGGAAATTATTCCCGTTTCCAACGAAATCTTCAGAGAGGTCCAAATATCCACCTGCAGATTCTACCAAAAGTGTATTTGGAAACTGCTCCATCAAAAGGCATGTTCAGCTCTGTGAGTGAAACTCCATCATCACAAAGAATATTCTGAGAATGCTTCCGTTTGCCTTTTATATGAAGTTCCTTCCTATACTACCGTAGGCCTCAAAGCAGTCCAAATCTCCATTTGCAGATTCTACAAAAAGAGTGATTCCAATCTGCTCTATCAATAGGATTGTTCAACTCCATGAGTTGAATGCCATCCTCACAAAGTAGTCTCTGAGAATGCTTCTATCTAGTTTTTATGTGAAGATATTTCCTTTTCCACCACAGGCCTCAAAGCCCTCCAAACGTCCACTTGCAGATTCTCGAAAAAGAGTGTTTCATAGCTGCTCTTTCAAAAGGAAAGTTCAACTCTGGGAGTTGAATACAAACATCACAAAGTAGTTTCCGAGAATGCTTCTGTTTAGTTCTTATGTGAAGATGATCCCGTTTCCAGTGAAATCTTCAAAGAGGTCCACATATCCCCTTGCAGATTCCAAAGAAAGAGGGTTTCAAAACTGCTCCATCAAAAGGATTGTTCAACTCTGTGAGTTGAATGCAGTCATCGCAGAAAACTTTCTGAGAATGCTTCTGTCTAGGTTTGAGGTGAAGATATAGACGTTTCAAACGAAGGCTAAAAAGTGGTCAAAATATACACTTGCAGATTCTACTACAAGGGTGTTGCAAACCTCAACTATCAAAGGAAGGTTCAACTCTGTGAGTTGAATACAAACATCACAAAGAATGTTCTGAGTTTGCTTCCGTTCAGTTATGGGAAGTTGATCCCGTTTCCAACGAAATCCTCAGAGAGGTCCAAATATCCCCTTGCAGATTCTACAAAACGTGTGTTTGGAAACTGCTCCATCATAACGAATGTTCAGCTCTCTGAGTTAAACTCCATCGTCACAAAGAATTTTCTGAGACTGCTACCGTCTACTTTTTATATGAAGTTCTTTCCTTTACTACCACAGGCCTCAAAGCGGTCCAAATCTCCACTTGCAGATTCTACAAAAAGAGTGTTTGCAAATTGCTCTATCAAAAGGAATGTTCAACTCTGGGAGTTGAATGCAATCATCACAGAGCAGTTTCTGAGAATGCTTCTATGTCGTTTTTAGGAGAAGATATTTCCTTTTCCAACACAGTCCTCCAAGCCCGCTAAATATCCACTTGCACATTGTAGAAAAAGTGTGTCGAAGCTGCGCTATCAAAGGGAAAGTTCAACTCTGTGAGGTGAATGCAAACATCCCAAAGAAGTTTCTGAGAATGCTTCCGTTTAGCTTTAAGTGAAGATTATCCCGTTTCCAACGAAATCTTCAAAGAGGTCCAAATATCCCCTTGCGGATCCCACAGAAAGAGTGTTTCGAAACTGCTGTTTCAAAAGGAATCTTCAACTCTGTGAGTTGAATGCAATCATCACAAAGAAGTTTCTGACAATGCTTCTCTCTCGTCTTTCTGTGAAGATAAAGGAAAAGGCTTTCAGGCCATTTCCACCACAGGCCTGAAAGCGCTCCAAATGTCCACTTGCAGATTCTGCCAAAAGAATATTTCAAAACTGCTCTATGAAAAGCAATGTTAAACTCTGCGGCTCGAACACAAACATCACAAAGCAGTTTCTGAGAATGCTTCAGTTTAGTTTTTCTGTGGAAATATTCCCGTTTCCAAAGAAATCTTCAAAGAGGTCCATGCATCCACTTACAGATTCTACAAAAAGACAGTTTCAAAACTGCTCAATCAAAAGGAGGGTTCAACTGTGTGACTTGAATGCATTCATCACTCAGAAGTTTCTGAGAACGCTTCTCTTTAGTTTTTACGTGAACATATACCCGTTTCGAACGAAGGCCAGCCAGTGGTCCAAATATCCACTTGCAGATTCTACAGAAAGAGTGTTTTGAACCTGAACTCTCAAAGGCAGGTTCATCTCTGCGAGTTAAATGCATTCATCATGAAGAACTTTCTCAGCGTGTTTGTGTTTAGTTATGGGAAATTATTCCCGTTTCCAACGAAATCCTCAGAGAGCTCCAAATATCCACCTGCAGATTGTACCAAAAGTGTATTTGGAAACTGCTCCATGAAAAGGCATGTTCAGCTCTGTGAGTGAAACTCCGTCATCACAAAGAATATTCTGAGAATGCTTCCGTTTGCCTTTTATATGAAGTTCCTTCCTATACTACCGTAGGCCTCAAAGCAGTCCAAATCTCCATTTGCAGATTCTACAAAAAGAGTGATTCCAATCTGCTCTATCAATAGGATTGTTCAACTCCCATGAGTTGAATGCCATCCTCACAAAGTCGTTTCTGAGAATGTTTCTATGTAGTTTTTATGTGAAGATATTTCCTTTTCCACCACAGGCCTCAAAGCCCTCCAAACGTCCACTTGCATATTCTCGAAAAAGAGTGTTTCATAGCTGCTCTTTCAAAAGGAAAGTTCAACTCTGGGAGTTGAATACAAACATCACAAAGTAGTTTCCGTGAATGCTTCTGTTTAGTTTTTATGTGAAGATGATCCCGTTTCCAGTGAAATCTTCAAAGAGGTCCACATATCCCCTTGCAGATTCCAAAGAAAGAGGGTTTCAAAACTGCTCCATCAAAAGGATTGTTCAACTCTGTGAGTTGAATGCAGTCATCGCAGAAAACTTTCTGAGAATGCTTCTTTCTAGGTTTGATGTGAAGATATAGACGTTTCAAACGAAGGCTACAAAGTGGTCAAAATATACACTTGCAGATTCTACTACAAGGGTGTTGCAAACCTGAACTATCAAAGGAAGGTTCAACTCTGTGAGTTGAATACAAACATCACAAAGAATGTTCTGAGTTTGCTTCCGTTCAGTTATGGGAAGTTGATCCCGTTTCCAACGAAATCCTCAGAGAGGTCCAAATATCCCCTTGCAGATTCTACAAAACGTGTGTTTGGAAACTGCTCCATCATAACGAATGTTCAGCTCCCTGAGTTAAACTCCATCGTCACAAAGAATTTTCTGAGAGTGCTACCGTCTGGTTTTTATATGAAGCTCTTTCCTTCACTACCCCAGGCCTCAAAGCGGTCCAAATCTCCACTTGCAGATTCTACAAAAAGAGTGTTTGCAAACTGCTCTATCAAAAGGAATGTTCAACTCTGGGAGTTGAATGCAATCATCACAGAGCAGTTTCTGAGAATGCTTCTATGTCGTTTTTAGGAGAAGATATTTCCTTTTCCAACACAGTCCTCCAAGCCCGCTAAATAGCCACTTGCACATTGTAGAAAAAGTGTGTCAAAGCTGCGCTATCAAAGGGAAAGTTCAACTCTGTGAGGTGAATGCAAACATCCCAAAGAAGTTTCTGAGAATGCTTCCGTTTAGCTTTTAGGTGAAGATTATCCCGTTTCCAACGAAACCTTCAAAGAGGTCCAAATATCCCCTTGCGGATCCCACAGAAAGAGTGTTTCGAAACTGCTGTTTCAAAAGGAATCTTCAACTCTGTGAGTTGAATGCAATCATCACAAAGAAGTTTCTGACAATGCTTCTCTCTCGTCTTTCTGTGAAGAGAAAGGAAAAGGCTTTCAGGCCTTTTCCACCACAGGCCTGAAAGCGCTCCAAATGTCCACTTGCAGATTCTGCCAAAAGAATATTTCAAAACTGTTCTATGAAAAGCAATGTTAAACTCTGTGGCTCGAACACAAACATCACAAAGCAGTTTCTGAGAATGCTTCAGTTTAGTTTTTCTGTGGAAATATTCCCGTTTCCAAAGAAATCTTCAAAGAGGTCCACGTATCCACTTACAGATTCTACAAAAAGACAGTTTCAAAACTGCTCAATCAAAAGGAGGGTTCAACCGTGTGACTTGAATGCAATCATCACTCAGAAGTTTCTGAGAATGCTTCTCTTTAGTTTTTACGTGAACATATACCCGTTTCGAACGAAGGCCACCCAGTGGTCCAAATATCCACTTGCAGATTCTACAGAAAGAGTGTTTCGAACCTGAACTCTCAAAGGCAGGTTCATCTCTGCGAGTTCAATGCATTCATCATGAAGAACTTTCTCAGAGTGTTTGTGTTTAGGTATGGGAAATTATTGCCGTTTCCAACGAAATCCTCAGAGAGGTCCAAATATCCACCTGCAGATTCTACCAAAAGTGTATTTGGAAACTGCTCCATCAAAAGGCATGTTCAGCTCTGTGAGTGAAACTCCATCATCACAAAGAATATTCTGAGAATGCTTCCGTTTGCCTTTTATATGAACTTCCTTCCTGTACTACCGTAGGCCTCAAAGCAGTCCAAATCTCCATTTGCAGATTCTACAAAAAGAGTGATTCCAATCTGCTCTATCAATAGGATTGTTCAACTCCATGAGTTGAATGCCATCCTCACAAAGTAGTTTCTGAGAATGCTTCTATCTAGTTTCTATGTGAAGATATTTCCTTTTCCACCACAGGCCTCAAAGCCCTCCAAACGTCCACTTGCAGATTCTCGAAAAAGAGTGTTTCATAGCTGCTCTTTCAAAAGGAAAGTTCAACTCTGGGAGTTGAATACAAACATCTCAAACTAGTTTCCGAGAATGCTTCTGTTTAGTTGTTATGTGAAGATGATCCCGTTTCCAGTGAAATCTTCAAAGAGGTCCATATATCCCCTTGCAGATTCCAAAGAAAGAGGGTTTCAAAACTGCTCCATCAAAAGGATTGTGCAACTCTGTGAGTTGAATGCAGTCATCGCAGAAAACTTTCTGAGAATGCTTCTGTCTAGGTTTGATGTGAAGATATAGACGTTTCAAACGAAGGCTACAAAGTGGTCAAAATATACACTTGCAGATTCTACTACAAGGGTGATGCAAACCTCAACTATAAAAGGAAGGTTCAACTCTGTGAGTTGAATACAAACATCACAAAGAATGTTCTGAGTTTGCTTCCGTTCAGTTATGGGAAGTTGATCCCGTTTCCAACGAAATCCTCAGAGAGGTCCAAATATCCCCTTGCAGATTCTACAAAACGTGTGTTTGGAAACTGCTCCATCATAACGGATGTTCAGCTCTCTGAGTTAAACTCCATCGTCACAAAGAATTTTCTGAGAGTGCTACCCTCTGGTTTTTATATGAAGTTGTTTCCTTTACTACCACAGGCCTCAAAGCGGTCCAAATCTCCACTTGCAGATTCTACAAAAAGAGTGTTTGCAAACTGCTCTATCAAAAGGAATGTTCAACTCTGGGAGTTGAATGCAATCATCACAGAGCAGTTTCTGAGAATGCTTCTATGTCGTTTTTAGGAGAAGATATTTCCTTTTCCAACACAGTCCTCCAAGCCCGCTAACTATCCACTTGCACATTGTAGAAAAAGTGTGTCGAAGCTGCGCTATCAAAGGGAAAATTCAACTCTGTGAGGTGAATGCAAACATCCCAAAGAAGTTTCTGAGAATGCTTCCGTTTAGCTTTTAGGTGAAGATTATCCCGTTTGCAACGAAATCTTCAAAGAGGTCCAAATATCCCCTTGCGGATCCCACAGAAAGAGTGTTTCGAAACTGCTGTTTCAAAAGGAATCTTCAACTCTGTGAGTTGAATGCAATCATCACAAACAAGTTTCTGACAATGCTTCTCTCTCGTCTTTCTGTGAAGATAAAGGAAAAGGCTTTCAGGCCTTTTCCACCACAGGCCTGAAAGCGCTCCAAATGTCCACTTGCAGATTCTGCCAAAAGAATATTTGAAAACTGCTCTATGAAAAGCAATGTTAAACTCTGTGGCTCGAACACAAACATCACAAAGCAGTTTCTGAGAATGCTTCAGTTTAGATTTTCTGTGGAAATATTCCCGTTTCCAAAGAAATCTTCAAAGAGGTCCACGTATCCACTTACAGATTCTACAAAAAGACAGTTTCAAAACTGCTCAATCAAAAGGAGGGTTCAACTGTGTGACTTGAATGCAATCATCACTCAGAAGTTTCTGAGAACGCTTCTCTTTAGTTTTTACGTGAACATATACCCGTTTCGAACGAAGGCCACCCAGTGGTCCAAATATCCACTTGCAGATTCTACAGAAAGAGTGTTTCGAACCTGAACTCTCAAAGGCAGGTTCATCTCTGCGAGTTAAATGCATTCATCATGAAGAACATTCTCAGAGTGTTTGTGTTTAGTTATGGGAAATTATTCCCGTTTCCAACGAAATCCTCAGAGAGCTCCAAATATCCACCTGCAGATTCTACCAAAAGTGTATTTGGAAACTGCTCCATCAAAAGGCATGTTCAGCTCTGTGAGTGAAACTCCATCATCACAAAGAATATTCTGAGAATGCTTCCGTTTGCTTTTTATATGAAGTTCCTTCCTATACTACCGTAGGCCTCAAAGCAGTCCAAATCTCCATTTGCAGATTCTACAAAAAGAGTGATTCCAATCTGCTCTATCAATAGGATTGTTCAACTCCATGAGTTGAATGCCATCCTCACAAAGTAGTTTCTGAGAATGCTTCTATCTAGTTTTTATGTGAAGATATTTCCTTTTCCACCACAGGCCTCAAAGCCCTCCAAACGTCCACTTGCAGATTCTCGAAAAAGAGTGTTTCATAGCTGCTCTTTCAAAAGGAAAGTTCAACTCTGGGAGTTGAATACAAACATCACAAAGTAGTTTCCGAGAATGCTTCTGTTTAGTTTTTATGTGAAGATGATCCCGTTTCCAGTGAAATCTTCAAAGAGGTCCACATATCCCCTTGCAGATTCCAAAGAAAGAGGGTTTCAAAACTGCTCCATCAGAAGGATTGTTCAACTCTGTGAGTTGAATGCAGTCATCGCAGAAAACTTTCTGAGAATGCTTCTGTCTAGGTTTGATGTGAAGATATAGACGTTTCAAACGAAGGCTACAAAGTGGTCAAAATATACACTTGCAGATTCTACTACAAGGGTGTTGCAAACCTGAACTATCAAAGGAAGGTTCAACTCTGAGTTGAATACAAACATCACAAAGAATGTTCTGAGTTTGCTTCCGTTCAGTTATGGGAAGTTGATCCCGTTTCCAACGAAATCCTCAGAGAGGTCCAAATATCCCCTTGCAGATTCTACAAAACGTGTGTTTGGAAACTGCTCCATCATAACGAATGTTCAGCTCCCTGAGTTAAACTCCATCGTCACAAAGAATTTTCTGAGAGTGCTACCGTCTGGTTTTTATATGAAGCTCTTTCCTTCACTACCACAGGCCTCAAAGCGGTCCAAATCTCCACTTGCAGATTCTACAAAAAGAGTGTTTGCAAACTGCTCTATCAAAAGGAATGTTCAACTCTGGGAGTTGAATGCAATCATCACAGAGCAGTTTCTGAGAATGCTTCTATGTCGTTTTTAGGAGAAGATATTTCCTTTTCCAACACAGTCCTCCAAGCCCGCTAAATAGCCACTTGCACATTGTAGAAAACGTGTGTCAAAGCTGCGCTATCAAAGGGAAAGTTCAACTCTGTGAGGTGAATGCAAACATCCCAAAGAAGTTTCTGAGAATGCTTCCGTTTAGCTTTTAGGTGAAGATTATCCCGTTTCCAACGAAACCTTCAAAGAGGTCCAAATATCCCCTTGCGGATCCCACAGAAAGAGTGTTTCGAAACTGCTGTTTCAAAAGGAATCTTCAACTCTGTGAGTTGAATGCAATCATCACAAAGAAGTTTCTGACAATGCTTCTCTCTCGTCTTTCTGTGAAGATAAAGGAAAAGGCTTTCAGGCCTTTTCCACCACAGGCCTGAAAGCGCTCCAAATGTCCACTTGCAGATTCTGCGAAAAGAATATTTCAAAACTGCTCTATGAAAAGCAATGTTAAACTCTGTGGCTCGAACACAAACATCACAAAGCGGTTTCTGAGAATGCTTCAGTTTAGTTTTTCTGTGGAAATATTCCCGTTTCCAAAGAAATCTTCAAAGAGGTCCACGTATCCACTTACAGATTCTACAAAAAGACAGTTTCAAAACTGCTCCATCAAAAGGAGGGTTCAACCGTGTGACTTGAATGCAATCATCACTCAGAAGTTTCTGAGAATGCTTCTCTTTAGTTTTTACGTGAACATATACCCGTTTCGAACGAAGGCCAGCCAGTGGTCCAAATATCCACTTGCAGATTCTACAGAAAGAGTGTTTCGAACCTGAACTCTCAAAGGCAGGTTCATCTCTGCGAGTTAAATGCATTCATCATGAAGAACTTTCTCAGAGTGTTTGTGTTTAGTTATGGGAAATTATTCCCGTTTCCAACGAAATCCTCAGAGAGCTCCAAATATCCACCTGCAGATTCTACCAAAAGTGTATTTGGAAACTGCTCCATCAAAAGGCATGTTCAGCTCTGTGAGTGAAACTCCATCATCACAAAGAATATTCTGAGAATGCTTCCGTTTGCCTTTTATATGAAGTTCCTTCCTATACGACCGTAGGCCTCAAAGCAGTCCAAATCTCCATTTGCAGATTCTACAAAAAGAGTGATTCCAATCTGCTCTATCAATAGGATTGTTCAACTCCATGAGTTGAATGCCATCCTCACAAAGTCGTTTCTGAGAATGCTTCTATCTAGTTTTTATGTGAAGATATTTCCTTTTCCACCACAGGCCTCAAAGCCCTCCAAACGTCCACTTGTAGATTCTCGAAAAAGAGTGTTTCATAGCTGCTCTTTCAAAAGGAAAGTTCAACTCCTGGGAGTTGAATACAAACATCACAAAGTAGTTTCCGAGAATGCTTCTGTTTAGTTCTTATGTGAAGATGATCCCGTTTCCAGTGAAATCTTCAAAGAGGTCCACATATCCCCTTGCAGATTCCAAAGAAAGAGGGTTTCAAAACTGCTCCATCAAAAGGATTGTTCAACTCTGTGAGTTGAATGCAGTCATCGCAGAAAACTTTCTGAGAATGCTTCTGTCTAGGTTTGATGTGAAGATATAGACGTTTCAAATGAAGGCTACAAAGTGGTGAAAATATACACTTGCAGATTCTACTACAAGGGTGTTGCAAACCTGAACTATCAAAGGAAGGTTCAACTCTGTGAGTTGAATACAAACATCACAAAGAATGTTCTGAGTTTGCTTCAGTTCAGTTATGGGAAGTTGATCCCGTTTCCAACGAAATCCTCAGAGAGGTCCAAATATCCCCTTGCAGATTCTACAAAACGTGTGTTTGGAAACTGCTCCATCATAACGAATGTTCAGCTCCCTGAGTTAAATTCCATCGTCACAAAGAATTTTCTGAGAGTGCTACCGTCTGGTTTTTATATGAAGTTCTTTCCTTCACTACCACAGGCCTCAAAGCGGTCCAAATCTCCACTTGCAGATTCTACAAAAAGAGTGTTTGCAAACTGCTCTATCAAAAGGAATGTTCAACTCTGGGAGTTGAATGCAATCATCACAGAGCAGTTTCTGAGAATGCTTCTATGTCGTTTTTAGGAGAAGATATTTCCTTTTCCAACACAGTCCTCCAAGCCCGCTAAATAGCCACTTGCACATTGTAGAAAAAGTGTGTCAAAGCTGCGCTATCAAAGGGAAAGTTCAACTCTGTGAGGTGAATGCAAACATCCCAAAGAAGTTTCTGAGAATGCTTCCGTTTAGCTTTTAGGTGAAGATTATCCCGTTTCCAACGAAACCTTCAAAGAGGTCCAAATATCCCCTTGCGGATCCCACAGAAAGAGTGTTTCGAAACTGCTGTTTCAAAAGGAATCTTCAACTCTGTGAGTTGAATGCAATCATCACAAAGAAGTTTCTGACAATGCTTCTCTCTCGTCTTTCTGTGAAGATAAAGGAAAAGGCTTTCAGGCCTTTTCCACCACAGGCCTGAAAGCGCTCCAAATGTCCACTTGCAGATTCTGCCAAAAGAATATTTCAAAACTGCTCTATGAAAAGCAATGTTAAACTCTGCGGCTCGAACACAAACATCACAAAGCGGTTTCTGAGAATGCTTCAGTTTAGTTTTTCTGTGGAAATATTCCCGTTTCCAAAGAAATCTTCAAAGAGGTCCACGTATCCACTTACAGATTCTACAAAAAGACAGTTTCAAAACTGCTCCATCAAAAGGAGGGTTCAACTGTGTGACTTCAATGCAATCATCACTCAGAAGTTTCTGAGAATGCTTCTCTTTAGTTTTTACGTGAACATATACCCGTTTCGAACGAAGGCCACCCAGTGGTCCAAATATCCACTTGCAGATTCTACAGAAAGAGTGTTTCGAACCTGAACTCTCAAAGGCAGGTTCATCTCTGCGAGTTAAATGCATTCATCATGAAGAACTTTCTCAGCGTGTTTGTGTTTAGGTATGGGAAATTATTCCCGTTTCCAACGAAATCCTCAGAGAGCTCCAAATATCCACCTGCAGATTCTACCAAAAGTGTATTTGGAAACTGCTCCATCAAAAGGCATGTTCAGCTCTGTGAGTGAAACTCCATCATCACAAAGAATATTCTGAGAATGCTTCCGTTTGCCTTTTATATGAAGTTCCTTCCTGTACTACCGTAGGCCTCAAAGCAGTCCAAATCTCCATTTGCAGATTCTACAAAAAGAGTGATTCCAATCTGCTCTATCAATAGGATTGTTCAACTCCATGAGTTGAATGCCATCCTCACAAAGTCGTTTCTGAGAATGCTTCTATCTGGTTTTTGTGTGAAGATATTTCCTTTTCCACCACAGGCCTCAAAGCCCTCCAAACGTCCACTTGCAGATTCTCGAAAAAGAGTGTTTCATAGCTGCTCTTTCAAAAGGAAAGTTCAACTCTGGGAGTTGAATACAAACATCACAAAATAGTTTCCGAGAATGCTTCTGTTTAGTTTTTATGTGAAGATGATCCCGTTTCCAGTGAAATCTTCAAAGAGGTCCACATATCCCCTTGCAGATTCCAAAGAAAGAGGGTTTCAAAACTGCTCCATCAAAAGGATTCTTCAACTCTGTGAGTTGAATGCAGTCATCGCAGAAAACTTTCTGAGAATGCTTCTGTCTAGGTTTGATGTGAAGATATAGACGTTTCAAACGAAGGCTACAAAGTGATCAAAATATACACTTGCAGATTCTACTACAAGGGTGTTGCAAACCTGAACTATCAAAGGAAGGTTCAACTCTGTGAGTTGAATACAAACATCACAAAGAATGTTCTGAGTTTGCTTCCGTTCAGTTATGGGAAGTTGATCCCGTTTCCAACGAAATCCTCAGAGAGGTCCAAATATCCCCTTGCAGATTCTACAAAACGTGTGTTTGGAAACTGCTCCATCATAACGAATGTTCAGCTCCCTGAGTTAAACTCCATCGTCACAAAGAATTTTCTGAGAGTGCTACCGTCTGGTTTTTATATGAAGTTCTTTCCTTCACTACCACAGGCCTCAAAGCGGTCCAAATCTCCACTTGCAGATTCTACAAAAAGAGTGTTTGCAAACTGCTCTATCAAAAGGAATGTTCAACTCTGGGAGTTGAATGCAATCATCACAGAGCAGTTTCTGAGAATGCTTCTATGTCGTTTTTAGGAGAAGATATTTCCTTTTCCAACACAGTCCTCCATGCCCGCTAAATATCCACTTGCACATTGTAGAAAAAGAGTGTCGAAGCTGCGCTATCAAAGGGAAAGTTCAACTCTGTGAGGTGAATGCAAACATCCCAAAGAAGTTTCTGAGAATGCTTCCGTTTAGCTTTTAGGTGAAGATTATCCCGTTTCCAACGAAATCTTCAAAGAGGTCCAAATATCCCCTTGCGGATCCCACAGAAAGAGTGTTTCGAAACTGCTGTTTCAAAAGGAATCTTCAACTCTGTGAGTTGAATGCAATCATCACAAAGAAGTTTCTGACAATGCTTCTCTCTCGTCTTTCTGTGAAGATAAAGGAAAAGGCTTTCAGGCCTTTTCCACCACAGGCCTGAAAGCGCTCCAAATGTCCACTTGCAGATTCTGCCAAAAGAATATTTCAAAACTGCTCTATGAAAAGCAATGTTAAACTCTGTGGCTCGAACACAAACATCACAAAGCAGTTTCTGAGAATGCTTCAGTTTAGTTTTTCTGTGGAAATATTCCCGTTTCGAAAGAAATCTTCAAAGAGGTCCACGCATCCACTTACAGATTCTACAAAAAGACAGTTTCAAAACTGCTCAATCAAAAGGAGGGTTCAACCGTGTGACTTGAATGCAATCATCACTCAGAAGTTTCTGAGAATGCTTCTCTTTAGTTTTTACGTGAACATATACCCGTTTCGAACGAAGGCCACCCAGTGGTCCAAATATCCACTTGCAGATTCTACAGAAAGAGTGTTTCGAACCTGAACTCTCAAAGGCAGGTTCATCTCTGCGAGTTCAATGCATTCAACATGAAGAACTTTCTCAGCGTGTTTGTGTTTAGTTATGGGAAATTATTGCCGTTTCCAACGAAATCCTCAGAGAGGTCCAAATATCCACCTGCAGATTCTACCAAAAGTGTATTTGGAAACTGCTCCATCAAAAGGCATGTTCAGCTCTGTGAGTGAAACTCCATCATCACAAAGAATATTCTGAGAATGCTTCCGTTTGCCTTTTATATGAAGTTCCTTCCTATACTACCGTAGGCCTCAAAGCAGTCCAAATCTCCATTTGCAGATTCTACAAAAAGAGTGATTCCAATCTGCTCTATCAATAGGATTGTTCAACTCCATGAGTTGAATGCCATCCTCACAAAGTCGTTTCTGAGTATGCTTCTATCTAGTTTTTATGTGAAGATATTTCCTTTTCCACCACAGGCCTCAAAGCCCTCCAAACGTCCACTTGCAGATTCTCGAAAAAGAGTGTTTCATAGCTGCTCTTTCAAAAGGAAAGTTCAACTCTGGGAGTTGAATACAAACATCACAAAGTAGTTTCCGAGAATGCTTCTGTTTAGTTCTTATGTGAAGATGATCCCGTTTCCAGTGAAATCTTCAAAGAGGTCCACATATCCCCTTGCAGATTCCAAAGAAAGAGGGTTTCAAAACTGCTCCATCAAAAGGATTGTTCAACTCTGTGAGTTGAATGCTGTCATCGCAGAAAACTTTCTGAGAATACTTCTGTCTAGGTTTGATGTGAAGATATAGACGTTTCAAACGAAGGCTACAAAGTGGTCAAAATATACACTTGCAGATTCTACTACAAGGGTGATGCAAACCTGAACTATCAAAGGAAGGTTCAACTCTGTGAGTTGAATACAAACATCACAAAGAATGTTCTGAGTTTGCTTCCGTTCAGTTATGGGAAGTTGATCCCGTTTCCAACGAAATCCTCAGAGAGGTCCAAATATCCCCTTGCAGATTCTACAAAACGTGTGTTTGGAAACTGCTCCATCATAACGAATGTTCAGCTCTCTGAGTTAAACTCCATCGTCACAAAGAATTTTCTGAGGGTGCTACCGTCTAGTTTTTATATGAAGTTCTTTCCTTTACTACCACAGGCCTCAAAGCGGTCCAAATCTCCACTTGCAGATTCTACAAAAAAGTGTTTGCAAACTGCTCTATCAAAAGGAATGTTCAACTCTGGGAGTTGAATGCAATCATCACAGAGCAGTTTCTGAGAATGCTTCTATGTCGTTTTTAGGAGAAGATATTTCCTTTTCCAACACAGTCCTCCAAGCCCGCTAAATATCCACTTGCACATTGTAGAAAAAGTGTGTCGAAGCTGCGCTATCAAAGGGAAAGTTCAACTCTGTGAGGTGAATGCAAACATCCCAAAGAAGTTTCTGAGAATGCTTCCGTTTAGCTTTTAGGTGAAGATTATCCCGTTTCCAACGAAATCTTCAAAGAGGTCCAAATATCCCCCTGCGGATCCCACAGAAAGAGTGTTTCGAAACTGCTGTTTCAAAAGGAATCTTCAACTCTGTGAGTTGAATGCAATCATCACAAAGAAGTTTCTGACAATGCTTCTCTCTCGTCTTTCTGTGAAGATAAAGGAAAAGGCTTTCAGGCCTTTTCCACCCACAGGCCTGAAAGCGCTCCAAATGTCCACTTGCAGATTCTGCCAAAAGAATATTTCAAAACTGCTCTATGAAAAGCAATGTTAAACTCTGCGGCTCGAACACAAACATCACAAAGCAGTTTCTGAGAATGCTTCAGTTTAGTTTTTCTGTGGAAATATTCCCGTTTCCAAAGAAATCTTCAAAGAGGTCCACGTATCCACTTACAGATTCTACAAAAAGACAGTTTCAAAACTGCTCAATCAAAAGGAGGGTTCAACCGTGTGACTTGAATGCAATCATCACTCAGAAGTTTCTGAGAATGCTTCTCTTTAGTTTTTACGTGAACATATACCCGTTTCGAACGAAGGCCAGCCAGTGGTCCAAATATCCACTTGCAGATTCTACAGAAAGAGTGTTTCGAACCTGAACTCTCAAAGGCAGGTTCATCTCTGCGAGTTCAATGCATTCATCATGAAGAACTTTCTCAGAGTGTTTGTGTTTAGGTATGGGAAATTATTCCCGTTTCCAACGAAATCCTCAGAGAGGTCCAAATATCCACCTGCAGATTCTACCAAAAGTGTATTTGGAAACTGCTCCATCAAAAGGCATGTTCAGCTCTGTGAGTGAAACTCCATCATCACAAAGAATATTCTGAGAATGCTTCCGTTTGCCTTTTATATGAAGTTCCTTCCTATACGACCGTAGGCCTCAAAGCAGTCCAAATCTCCATTTGCAGATTCTACAAAAAGAGTGATTCCAATCTGCTCTATCAATAGGATTGTTCAACTCCATGAGTTGAATGCCATCCTCACAAAGTCGTTTCTGAGAATGCTTCTATCTAGTTTTTATGTGAAGATATTTCCTTTTCCACCACAGGCCTCAAAGCCCTCCAAACGTCCACTTGCAGATTCTCGAAAAAGAGTGTTTCATAGCTGCTCTTTCAAAAGGAAAGTTCAACTCTGGCAGTTGAATACAAACATCACAAAGTAGTTTCCGAGAATGCTTCTGTTTAGTTTTTATGTGAAGATGATCCCGTTTCCAGTGAAATCTTCAAAGAGGTCCACATATCCCCTTGCAGATTCCAAAGAAAGAGGGTTTCAAAACTGCTCCATCAGAAGGATTGTTCAACTCTGTGAGTTGAATGCAGTCATCGCAGAAAACTTTCTGAGAATGCTTCTTTCTAGGTTTGATGTGAAGATATAGACGTTTCAAACGAAGGCTACAAAGTGGTCAAAATATACACTTGCAGATTCTACTACAAGGGTGTTGCAAACCTGAACTATCAAAGGAAGGTTCAACTCTGTGAGTTGAATACAAACATCACAAAGAATGTTCTGAGTTTGCTTCCGTTCAGTTATGGGAAGTTGATCCCGTTTCCAACGAAATCCTCAGAGAGGTCCAAATATCCCCTTGCAGATTCTACAAAACGTGTGTTTGGAAACTGCTCCATCATAACGAATGTTCAGCTCCCTGAGTTAAACTCCATCGTCACAAAGAATTTTCTGAGAGTGCTACCGTCTGGTTTTTATATGAAGTTCTTTCCTTCACTACCACAGGCCTCAAAGCGGTCCAAATCTCCACTTGCAGATTCTACAAAAAGAGTGTTTGCAAACTGCTCTATCAAAAGGAATGTTCAACTCTGGGAGTTGAATGCAATCATCACAGAGCAGTTTCTGAGAATGCTTCTATGTCGTTTTTAGGAGAAGATATTTCCTTTTCCAACACAGTCCTCCAAGCCCGCTAAATAGCCACTTGCACATTGTAGAAAAAGTGTGTCAAAGCTGCGCTATCAAAGGGAAAGTTCAACTCTGTGAGGTGAATGCAAACATCCCAAAGAAGTTTCTGAGAATGCTTCCGTTTAGCTTTTAGGTGAAGATTATCCCGTTTCCAACGAAACCTTCAAAGAGGTCCAAATATCCCCTTGCGGATCCCACAGAAAGAGTGTTTCGAAACTGCTGTTTCAAAAGGAATCTTCAACTCTGTGAGTTGAATGCAATCATCACAAAGAAGTTTCCTGACAATGCTTCTCTCTCGTCTTTCTGTGAAGATAAAGGAAAAGGCTTTCAGGCCTTTGCCACCACAGGCCTGAAAGCGCTCCAAATGTCCACTTGCAGATTCTGCGAAAAGAATATTTCAAAACTGCTCTATGAAAAGCAATGTTAAACTCTGTGGCTCGAACACAAACATCACAAAGCAGTTTCTGAGAATGCTTCAGTTTAGTTTTTCTGTGGAAATATTCCCGTTTCCAAAGAAATCTTCAAAGAGGTCCACGTATCCACTTACAGATTCTACAAAAAGACAGTTTCAAAACTGCTCCATCAAAAGGAGGGTTCAACCGTGTGACTTGAATGCAATCATCACTCAGAAGTTTCTGAGAATGCTTCTCTTTAGTTTTTACGTGAACATATACCCGTTTCGAACGAAGGCCACCCAGTGGTCCAAATATCCACTTGCAGATTATACAGAAAGAGTGTTTCGAACCTGAACTCTCAAAGGCAGGTTCATCTCTGCGAGTTAAATGCATTCATCATGAAGAACTTTCTCAGAGTGTTTGTGTTTAGTTATGGGAAATTATTCCCGTTTCCAACGAAATCCTCAGAGAGCTCCAAATATCCACCTGCAGATTCTACCAAAAGTGTATTTGGAAACTGCTCAATCAAAAGGCATGTTCAGCTCTGTGAGTGAAACTCCATCATCACAAAGAATATTCTGAGAATGCTTCCGTTTGCCTTTTATATGAAGTTCCTTCCTGTACTACCGTAGGCCTCAAAGCAGTCCAAATCTCCATTTGCAGATTCTATAAAAAGAGTGATTCCAATCTGCTCTATCAATAGGATTGTTCAACTCCATGAGTTGAATGCCATCCTCACAAAGTAGTTTCTGAGAATGCTTCTATCTGGTTTTTGTGTGAAGATATTTCCTTTTCCACCACAGGCCTCAAAGCCCTCCAAACGTCCACTTGCAGATTCTCGAAAAAGAGTGTTTCATAGCTGCTCTTTCAAAAGGAAAGTTCAACTCTGGGAGTTGAATACAAACATCACAAAATAGTTTCCGAGAATGCTTCTGTTTAGTTTTTATGTGAAGATGATCCCGTTTCCAGTGAAATCTTCAAAGAGGTCCACAT
The DNA here is from genome assembly GCF_000001405.40 of Homo sapiens. Lineage (NCBI taxonomy): Eukaryota > Metazoa > Chordata > Mammalia > Primates > Hominidae > Homo > Homo sapiens. The sequence continues at coordinate 60,132,202 of NC_000023.11, read as the reverse complement.
ATCCCCTTGCAGATTCCAAAGAAAGAGGGTTTCAAAACTGCTCCATCAGAGGATTGTTCAACTCTGTGAGTTGAATGCAGTCATCGCAGAAATCTTTCTGAGAATGCTTCTGTCTAGGTTTGATGTGAAGATATAGACGTTTCAAACGAAGGCTACAAAGTGGTCAAAATATACACTTGCAGATTCTACTACAAGGGTGTTGCAAACCTGAACTATCAAAGGAAGGTTCAACTCTGTGAGTTGAATACAAACATCACAAAGAATGTTCTGAGTTTGCTTCCGTTCAGTTATGGGAAGTTGATCCCGTTTCCAACGAAATCCTCAGAGAGGTCCAAATATCCCCTCGCAGATTCTACAAAACGTGTGTTTGGAAACTGCTCCATCATAACGAATGTTCAGCTCCCTGAGTTAAACTCCATCGTCACAAAGAATTTTCTGAGAGTGCTACCGTCTGGTTTTTATATGAAGTTCTTTCCTTCACTACCACAGGCCTCAAAGCGGTCCAAATCTCCACTTGCAGATTCTACAAAAAGAGTGTTTGCAAACTGCTCTATCAAAAGGAATGTTCAACTCTGGGAGTTGAATGCAATCATCACAGAGCAGTTTCTGAGAATGCTTCTATGTCGTTTTTAGGAGAAGATATTTCCTTTTCCAACACCGTCCTCCAAGCCCGCTAAATAGCCACTTGCACATTGTAGAAATAGTGTGTCAAAGCTGCGCTATCAAAGGGAAAGTTCAACTCTGTGAGGTGAATGCAAACATCCCAAAGAAGTTTCTGAGAATGCTTCCGTTTAGCTTTTAGGTGAAGATTATCCCGTTTCCAACGAAACCTGCAAAGAGGTCCAAATATCCCCTTGCGGATCCCACAGAAAGAGTGTTTCGAAACTGCTGTTTCAAAAGGAATCTTCAACTCTGTGAGCTGAATGCAATCATCACAAAGAAGTTTCTGACAATGCTTCTCTCTCGTCTTTCTGTGAAGATAAAGGAAAAGGCTTTCAGGCCTTTTCCACCACAGGCCTGAAAGCGCTCCAAATGTCCACTTGCAGATTCTGCGAAAAGAATATTTCAAAACTGCTCTATGAAAAGCAATGTTAAACTTCTGTGGCTGGAACACAAACATCACAAAGCGGTTTCTGAGAATGTTTCAGTTTAGTTTTTCTGTGGAAATATTCCCGTTTCGAAAGAAATCTTCAAAGAGGTCCACGCATCCACTTACAGATTCTACAAAAAGACAGTTTCAAAACTGCTCAATCAAAAGGAGGGTTCAACTGTGTGACTTGAATGCAATCATCACTCAGAAGTTTATGAGAACGCTTCTCTTTAGTTTTTACATGAACATATACCCGTTTCGAACGAAGGCCAGCCAGTGGTCCAAATATCCACTTGCAGATTCTACAGAAAGAGTGTTTCGAACCTGAACTCTCAAAGGCAGGTTCATCTCTGCGAGTTCAATGCATTCATCATGAAGAACTTTCTCAGCGTGTTTGTGTTTAGTTATGGGAAATTATTCCCGTTTCCAACGAAATCCTCAGAGAGCTCCAAATATCCACCTGCAGATTCTACCAAAAGTGTATTTGGAAATTGCTCCATCAAAAGGCATGTTCAGCTCTGTGAGTGAAACTCCATCATCACAAAGAATATAATGAGAATGCTTCCGTTTGCCTTTTATATGAAGTTCCTTCCTATACTACCGTAGGCCTCAAAGCAGTCCAAATCTCCATTTGCAGATTCTACAAAAAGAGTGATTCCAATCTGCTCTATCAATAGGATTGTTCAACTCCATGAGTTGAATGCCATCCTCACAAAGTCGTTTCTGAGAATGCTTCTGTTTAGTTTTTATGTGAAGATGATCCCGTTTCCAGTGAAATCTTCAAAGAGGTCCACATATCCCCTTGCAGATTCCAAAGAAAGAGGGTTTCAAAACTGCTCCATCAGAAGGATTGTTCAACTCTGTGAGTTGAATGCAGTCATCGCAGAAAACTTTCTGAGAATGCTTCTGTCTAGGTTTGATGTGAAGATATAGACGTTTCAAACGAAGGCTACAAAGTGGTCAAAATATACACTTGCAGATTCTACTACAAGGGTGTTGCAAACCTGAACTATCAAAGGAAAGTTCAACTCTGTGAGTTGAATACAAACATCACAAAGAATGTTCTGAGTTTGCTTCCGTTCAGTTATGGGAAGTTGATCCCGTTTCCAACGAAATCCTCAGAGAGGTCCAAATATCCCCTTGCAGATTCTACAAAACGTGTGTTTGGAAACTGCTCCATCATAACGAATGTTCAGCTCCCTGAGTTAAACTCCATCGTCACAAAGAATTTTCTGAGAGTGCTACCGTCTGGTTTTTATATGAAGTTCTTTCCTTCACTACCACAGACCTCAAAGCGGTCCAAATCTCCACTTGCAGATTCTACAAAAAGAGTGTTTGCAAACTGCTCTATCAAAAGGAATGTTCAACTCTGGGAGTTGAATGCAATCATCACAGAGCAGTTTCTGAGAATGCTTCTATGTCGTTTTTAGGAGAAGATATTTCCTATTCCAACACAGTCCTCCAAGCCCGCTAAATATCCACTTGCACATTGTAGAAAAAATGTGTCGAAGCTGCGCTATCAAAGGGAAAGTTCAACTCTGTGAGGTGAATGCAAACATCCCAAAGAAGTTTCTGAGAATGCTTCCGTTTAGCTTTTAGGTGAAGATTATCCCGTTTCCAACGAAAACCTTCAAAGAGGTCCAAATATCCCCTTGCGGATCCCACAGAAAGAGTGTTTCGAAACAGCTGTTTCAAAAGGAATCTTCAACTCTGTGAGTTGAATGCAATCATCACAAAGAAGTTTCTGACAATGCTTCTCTCTCGTCTTTCTGTGAAGATAAAGGAAAAGGCTTTCAGGCCTTTTCCACCACAGGCCTGAAAGCGCTCCAAATGTCCACTTGCAGATTCTGCCAAAAGAATATTTCAAAACTGCTCTATGAAAAGCAATGTTAAACTCTGTGGCTCGAACACAAACATCACAAAGCAGTTTCTGAGAATGCTTCAGTTTAGTTTTTCTGTGGAAATATTCCCGTTTCCAAAGAAATCTTCAAAGAGGTCCACGTATCCACTTACAGATTCTACAAAAAGACAGTTTCAAAACTGCTCCATCAAAAGGAGGGTTCAACTGTGTGACTTGAATGCAATCATCACTCAGAAGTTTCTGAGAATGCTTCTCTTTAGTTTTTACGTGAACATATACCCGTTTCAAACGAAGGCCAGCCAGTGGTCCAAATATCCACTTGCAGATTCTACAGAAAGAGTGTTTCGAACCTGAACTCTCAAAGGCAGGTTCATCTCTGCGAGTTAAATGCATTCATCATGAAGAACTTTCTCAGAGTGTTTGTGTTTAGTTATGGGAAATTATTCCCGTTTCCAACGAAATCCTCAGAGAGCTCCAAATATCCACCTGCAGATTCTACCAAAAGTGTATTTGGAAACTGCTCCATCAAAAGGCATGTTCAGCTCTGTGAGTGAAACTCCATCATCACAAAGAATATTCTGAGAATGCTTCCGTTTGCCTTTTATATGAAGTTCCTTCCTATACGACCGTAGGCCTCAAAGCAGTCCAAATCTCCATTTGCAGATTCTACAAAAAGAGTGATTCCAATCTGCTCTATCAATAGGATTGTTCAACTCCATGAGTTGAATGCCATCCTCACAAAGTCGTTTCTGAGAATGCTTCTATCTAGTTTTTATGTGAAGATATTTCCTTTTCCACCACAGGCCTCAAAGCCCTCCAAACGTCCACTTGCAGATTCTCGAAAAAGAGTGTTTCATAGCTGCTCTTTCAAAAGGAAAGTTCAACTCTGGGAGTTGAATACAAACATCACAAAGTAGTTTCCGAGAATGCTTCTGTTTAGTTTTTATGTGAAGATGATCCCGTTTCCAGTGAAATCTTCAAAGAGGTCCACATATCCCCTTGCAGATTCCAAAGAAAGAGGGTTTCAAAACTGCTCCATCAGAAGGATTGTTCAACTCTGTGAGTTGAATGCAGTCATCGCAGAAAACTTTCTGAGAATGCTTCTGTCTAGGTTTGATGTGAAGATATAGATGTTTCAAACGAAGGCTACAAAGTGGTCAAAATATACACTTGCAGATTCTACTACAAGGGTGTTGCAAACCTGAACTATCAAAGGAAGGTTCAACTCTGTGAGTTGAATACAAACATCACAAAGAATGTTCTGAGTTTGCTTCCGTTCAGTTATGGGAAGTTGATCCCGTTTCCAACGAAATCCTCAGAGAGGTCCAAATATCCCCTTGCAGATTCTACAAAACGTGTGTTTGGAAACTGCTCCATCGTAACGAATGTTCAGCTCCCTGAGTTAAACTCCATCGTCACAAAGAATTTTCTGAGAGTGCTACCGTCTGGTTTTTATATGGAGTTCTTTCCTTCACTACCACAGGCCTCAAAGCGGTCCAAATCTCCACTTGCAGATTCTACAAAAAGAGTGTTTGCAAACTGCTCTATCAAAAGGAATGTTCAACTCTGGGAGTTGAATGCAATCATCACAGAGCAGTTTCTGAGAATGCTTCTATGTCGTTTTTAGGAGAAGATATTTCCTTTTCCAACACAGTCCTCCAAGCCCGCTAAATAGCCACTTGCACATTGTAGAAAAAGTGTGTCAAAGCTGCGCTATCAAAGGGAAAGTTCAACTCTGTGAGGTGAATGCAAACATCCCAAAGAAGTTTCTGAGAATGCTTCCGTTTAGCTTTTAGGTGAAGATTATCCCGTTTCCAACGAAACCTTCAAAGAGGTCCAAATATCCCCTTGCGGATCCCACAGAAAGAGTGTTTCGAAACTGCTGTTTCAAAAGGAATCTTCAACTCTGTGAGTTGAATGCAATCATCACAAAGAAGTTTCTGACAATGCTTCTCTCTCGTCTTTCTGTGAAGATAAAGGAAAAGGCTTTCAGGCCTTTTCCACCACAGGCCTGAAAGCGCTCCAAATGTCCACTTGCAGATTCTGCCAAAAGAATATTTCAAAACTGCTCTATGAAAAGCAATGTTAAACTCTGCGGCTCGAACACAAACATCACAAAGCGGTTTCTGAGAATGCTTCAGTTTAGTTTTTCTGTGGAAATATTCCCGTTTCCAAAGAAATCTTCAAAGAGGTCCACGTATCCACTTACAGATTCTACAAAAAGACAGTTTCAAAACTGCTCCATCAAAAGGAGGGTTCAACCGTGTGACTTGAATGCAATCATCACTCAGAAGTTTGCTGAGAATGCTTCTCTTTAGTTTTTACGTGAACATATACCCGTTTCGAACGAAGGCCACCCAGTGGTCCAAATATCCACTTGCAGATTCTACAGAAAGAGTGTTTCGAACCTGAACTCTCAAAGGCAGGTTCATCTCTGCGAGTTAAATGCATTCATCATGAAGAACTTTCTCAGCGTGTTTGTGTTTAGGTATGGGAAATTATTCCCGTTTCCAACGAAATCCTCAAAGAGCTCCAAATATCCACCTGCAGATTCTACCAAAAGTGTATTTGGAAACTGCTCCATCAAAAGGCATGTTCAGCTCTGTGAGTGAAACTCCATCATCACAAAGAATATTCTGAGAATGCTTCCGTTTGCCTTTTATATGAAGTTCCTTCCTGTACTACCGTAGGCCTCAAAGCAGTCCAAATCTCCATTTGCAGATTCTACAAAAAGAGTGATTCCAATCTGCTCTATCAATAGGATTGTTCAACTCCATGAGTTGAATGCCATCCTCACAAAGTCGTTTCTGAGAATGCTTCTATCTGGTTTTTGTGTGAAGATATTTCCTTTTCCACCACAGGCCTCAAAGCCCTCCAAACGTCCACTTGCAGATTCTCGAAAAAGAGTGTTTCATAGCTGCTCTTTCAAAAGGAAAGTTCAACTCTGGGAGTTGAATACAAACATCACAAAATAGTTTCCGAGAATGCTTCTGTTTAGTTTTTATGTGAAGATGATCCCGTTTCCAGTGAAATCTTCAAAGAGGTCCACATATCCCCTTGCAGATTCCAAAGAAAGAGGGTTTCAAAACTGCTCCATCAGAAGGATTGTTCAACTCTGTGAGTTGAATGCAGTCATCGCAGAAAACTTTCTGAGAATGCTTCTGTCTAGGTTTGATGTGAAGATATAGACGTTTCAAACGAAGGCTACAAAGTGGTCAAAATATACACTTGCAGATTCTACTACAAGGGTGTTGCAAACCTGAACTATCAAAGGAAGGTTCAACTCTGTGAATTGAATACAAACATCACAAAGAATGTTCTGAGTTTGCTTCCGTTCAGTTATGGGAAGTTGATCCCGTTTCCAACGAAATCCTCAGAGAGGTCCAAATATCCCCTCGCAGATTCTACAAAACGTGTGTTTGGAAACTGCTCCATCATAACGAATGTTCAGCTCCCTGAGTTAAACTCCATCGTCACAAAGAATTTTCTGAGAGTGCTACCGTCTGGTTTTTATATGAAGTTCTTTCCTTCACTACCACAGGCCTCAAAGCGGTCCAAATCTCCACTTGCAGATTCTACAAAAAGAGTGTTTGCAAACTGCTCTATCAAAAGGAATGTTCAACTCTGGGAGTTGAATGCAATCATCACAGAGCAGTTTCTGAGAATGCTTCTATGTCGTTTTTAGAAGATATTTCCTTTTCCAACACAGTCCTCCAAGCCCGCTAAATAGCCACTTGCACATTGTAGAAAAAGTGTGTCAAAGCTGCGCTATCAAAGGGAAAGTTCAACTCTGTGAGGTGAATGCAAACATCCCAAAGAAGTTTCTGAGAATGCTTCCGTTTAGCTTTTAGGTGAAGATTATCCCGTTTCCAACGAAACCTTCAAAGAGGTCCAAATATCCCCTTGCGGATCCCACAGAAAGAGTGTTTCGAAACTGCTGTTTCAAAAGGAATCTTCAACTCTGTGAGTTGAATGCAATCATCAAAAAGAAGTTTCTGACAATGCTTCTCTCTCGTCTTTCTGTGAAGATAGAGGAAAAGGCTTTCAGGCCTTTTCCACCACAGGCCTGAAAGCGCTCCAAATGTCCACTTGCAGATTCTGCGAAAAGAATATTTCAAAACTTCTCTATGAAAAGCAATGTTAAACTCTGTGGCTCGAACACAAACATCACAAAGCAGTTTCAGAGAATGCTTCAGTTTAGTTTTTCTGTGGAAATATTCCCGTTTCCAAAGAAATCTTCAAAGAGGTCCACGTATCCACTTACAGATTCTACAAAAAGACAGTTTCAAAACTGCTCCATCAAAAGGAGGGTTCAACTATGTGACTTGAATGCAATCATCACTCAGAAGTTTCTGAGAATGCTTCTTTTTAGTTTTTATGTGAACATATACCCGTTTCGAACGAAGGCCACCCAGTGGTCCAAATATCCACTTGCAGATTCTACAGAAAGAGTGTTTCGAACCTGAACTCTCAAAGGCAGGTTCATCTCTGCGAGTTAAATGCATTCATCATGAAGAACTTTCTCAGAGTGTTTGTGTTTAGTTATGGGAAATTATTCCCGTTTCCAACGAAATCCTCAGAGAGCTCCAAATATCCACCTGCAGATTCTACCAAAAGTGTATTTGGAAACTACTCCATCAAAAGGCATGTTCAGCTCTGTGAGTGAAACTCCATCATCACAAAGAATATTCTGAGAATGCTTCCGTTTGCCTTTTATCTGAAGTTCCTTCCTATACGACCGTAGGCCTCAATGCAGTCCAAATCTCCATTTGCAGATTCTACAAAAAGAGTGATTCCAATCTGCTCTATCAATAGGATTGTTCAACTCCATGAGTTGAATGCCATCCTCACAAAGTCGTTTCTGAGAATGCTTCTATCTAGTTTTTATGTGAAGATATTTCCTTTTCCACCACAGGCCTCAAAGCCCTCCAAACGTCCACTTGCAGATTCTCGAAAAAGAGTGTTTCATAGCTGCTCTTTCAAAAGGAAAGTTCAACTCTGGGAGTTGAATACAAACATCACAAAGTAGTTTCCGAGAATGCTTCTGTTTAGTTTTTATGTGAAGATGATCCCGTTTCCAGTGAAATCTTCAAAGAGGTCCACATATCCCCTTGCAGATTCCAAAGAAAGAGGGTTTCAAAACTGCTCCATCAGAAGGATTGTTCAACTCTGTGAGTTGAATGCAGTCATCGCAGAAAACTTTCTGAGAATGCTTCTGTCTAGGTTTGATGTGAAGATATAGACGTTTCAAACGAAGGCTACAAAGTGGTCAAAATATACACTTGCAGATTCTACTACAAGGGTGTTGCAAACCTGAACTATCAAAGGAAGGTTCAACTCCGTCAGTTGAATACAAACATCACAAAGAATGTTCTGAGTTTGCTTCCGTTCAGTTATGGGAAGTTGATCCCGTTTCCAACGAAATCCTCAGAGAGGTCCAAATATCCCCTTGCAGATTCTACAAAACGTGTGTTTGGAAACTGCTCCATCATAACGAATGTTCAGCTCCCTGAGTTAAACTCCATCGTCACAAAGAATTTTCTGAGAGTGCTACCGTGTGGTTTTTATATGAAGCTCTTTCCTTCACTACCACAGGCCTCAAAGCGGTCCAAATCTCCACTTCCAGATTCTACAAAAAGAGTGTTTGCAAACTGCTCTATCAAAAGGAATGTTCAACTCTGGGAGTTGAATGCAATCATCACAGAGCAGTTTCTGAGAATGCTTCTATGTCGTTTTTAGGAGAAGATATTTCCTTTTCCAACACAGTCCTCCAAGCCCGCTAAATAGCCACTTGCACATTGTAGAAAAAGTGTGTCAAAGCTGCGCTATCAAAGGGAAAGTTCAACTCTGTGAGGTGAATGCAAACATCCCAAAGAAGTTTCTGAGAATGCTTCCGTTTAGCTTTTAGGTGAAGATTATCCCGTTTCCAACGAAACCTTCAAAAGGTCCAAATATCCCCTTGCGGATCCCACAGAAAGAGTGTTTCGAAACTGCTGTTTCAAAAGGAATCTTCAAGTCTGTGAGTTGAATGCAATCATCACAAAGAAGTTTCTGACAATGCTTCTCTCTCGTCTTTCTGTGAAGATAAAGGAAAAGGCTTTCAGGCCTTTTCCACCACAGGCCTGAAAGCGCTCCAAATGTCCACTCGCAGATTCTGCCAAAAGAATATTTCAAAACTGCTCTATGAAAAGCAATGTTAAACTCTGTGGCTCGAACACAAACATCACAAAGCAGTTTCTGAGAATGCTTCAGTTTAGTTTTTCTGTGGAAATATTCCCGTTTCCAAAGAAATCTTCAAAGAGGTCCACGTATCCACTTACAGATTCTACAAAAAGACAGTTTCAAAACTGCTCCATCAAAAGGAGGGTTCAACTGTGTGACTTGAATGCAATCATCACTCACAAGTTTCTGAGAATGCTTCTCTTTAGTTTTTACGTGAACATATACCCGTTTCGAACGAAGGCCAGCCAGTGGTCCAAATATCCACTTGCAGATTCTACAGAAAGAGTGTTTCGAACATGAACTCTCAAAGGCAGGTTCATCTCTGCGAGTTAAATGCATTCATCATGAAGAACTTTCTCAGAGTGTTTGTGTTTAGTTATGGGAAATTATTCCCGTTTCCAACGAAATCCTCAGAGAGGTCCAAATATCCACCTGCAGATTCTACCAAAAGTGTATTTGGAAACTGCTCCATCAAAAGGCATGTTCAGCTCTGTGAGTGAAACTCCATCATCACAAAGAATATTCTGAGAATGCTTCCGTTTGCCTTTTATATGAAGTTCCTTCCTATACGACCGTAGGCCTCAAAGCAGTCCAAATCTCCATTTGCAGATTCTACAAAAAGAGTGATTCCAATCTGCTCTATCAATAGGATTGTTCAACTCCATGAGTTGAATGCCATCCTCACAAAGTCGTTTCTGAGAATGCTTCTATCTAGTTTTTATGTGAAGATATTTCCTTTTCCACCACAGGCCTCAAATCCCTCCAAACGTCCACTTGCAGATTCTCGAAAAAGAGTGTTTCATAGCTGCTCTTTCAAAAGGAAAGTTCAACTCTGGGAGTTGAATACAAACATCACAAAGTAGTTTCCGAGAATGCTTCTGTTTAGTTTTTATGTGAAGATGATCCCGTTTCCAGTGAAATCTTCAAAGAGGTCCACATATCCCCTTGCAGATTCCAAAGAAAGAGGGTTTCAAAACTGCTCCATCAGAAGGATTGTTCAACTCTGTGAGTTGAATGCAGTCATCGCAGAAAACTTTCTGAGAATGCTTCTGTCTAGGTTTGATGTGAAGATATAGACGTTTCAAACGAAGGCTACAAAGTGGTCAAAATATACACTTGCAGATTCTACTACAAGGGTGTTGCAAACCTGAACTATCAAAGGAAGGTTCAACTCTGTGAGTTGAATACAAACATCACAAAGAATGTTCTGAGTTTGCTTCCGTTCAGTTATGGGAAGTTGATCCCGTTTCCAACGAAATCCTCAGAGAGGTCCAAATATCCCCTTGCAGATTCTACAAAACGTGTGTTTGGAAACTGCTCCATCATAACGAATGTTCAGCTCCCTGAGTTAAACTCCATCGTCACAAAGAATTTTCTGAGAGTGCTACCGTCTGGTTTTTATATGAAGCTCTTTCCTTCACTACCACAGGCCTCAAAGCGGTCCAAATCTCCACTTGCAGATTCTACAAAAAGAGTGTTTGCAAACTGCTCTATCAAAAGGAATGTTCAACTCTGGGAGTTGAATGCAATCATCACAGAGCAGTTTCTGAGAATGCTTCTATGTCGTTTTTAGGAGAAGATATTTCCTTTTCCAACACAGTCCTCCAAGCCCGCTAAATAGCCACTTGCACATTGTAGAAAAAGTGTGTCAAAGCTGCGCTATCAAAGGGAAAGTTCAACTCTGTGAGGTGAATGCAAACATCCCAAAGAAGTTTCTGAGAATGCTTCCGTTTAGCTTTTAGGTGAAGATTATCCCGTTTCCAACGAAACCTTCAAAGAGGTCCAAATATCCCCTTGCGGATCCCACAGAAAGAGTGTTTCGAAACTGCTGTTTCAAAAGGAATCTTCAACTCTGTGAGTTGAATGCAATCATCACAAAGAAGTTTCTGACAATGCTTCTCTCTCGTCTTTCTGTGAAGATAAAGGAAAAGGCTTTCAGGCCTTTTCCACCACAGGCCTGAAAGCGCTCCAAATGTCCACTTGCAGATTCTGCGAAAAGAATATTTCAAAACTGCTCTATGAAAAGCAATGTTAAACTCTGTGGCTCGAACACAAACATCACAAAGCGGTTTCTGAGAATGTTTCAGTTTAGTTTTTCTGTGGAAATATTCCCGTTTCCAAAGAAATCTTCAAAGAGGTCCACGTATCCACTTACAGATTCTACAAAAAGACAGTTTCAAAACTGCTCCATCAAAAGGAGGGTTCAACTGTGTGACTTGAATGCAATCATCACTCAGAAGTTTCTGAGAATGCTTCTCTTTAGTTTTTACGTGAACATATACCCGTTTCGAACGAAGGCCACCCAGTGGTCCAAATATCCACTTGCAGATTCTACAGAAAGAGTGTTTCGAACCTGAACTCTCAAAGGCAGGTTCATCTCTGCGAGTTAAATGCATTCATCATGAAGAACTTTCTCAGAGTGTTTGTGTTTAGTTATGGGAAATTATTCCCGTTTCCAACGAAATCCTCAGAGAGCTCCAAATATCCACCTGCAGATTCTACCAAAAGTGTATTTGGAAACTGCTCCATCAAAAGGCATGTTCAGCTCTGTGAGTGAAACTCCATCATCACAAAGAATATTCTGAGAATGCTTCCGTTTGCCTTTTATATGAAGTTCCTTCCTATACGACCGTAGGCCTCAAAGCAGTCCAAATCTCCATTTGCAGATTCTACAAAAAGAGTGATTCCAATCTGCTCTATCAATAGGATTGTTCAACTCCATGAGTTGAATGCCATCCTCACAAAGTCGTTTCTGAGAATGCTTCTATCTAGTTTTTATGTGAAGATATTTCCTTTTCCACCACAGGCCTCAAAGCCTTCCAAACGTCCACTTGCAGATTCTCGAAAAAGAGTGTTTCATAGCTGCTCTTTCAAAAGGAAAGTTCAACTCTGGGAGTTGAATACAAACATCACAAAGTAGTTTCCGAGAATGCTTCTGTTTAGTTTTTATGTGAAGATGATCCCGTTTCCAGTGAAATCTTCAAAGAGGTCCACATATCCCCTTGCAGATTCCAAAGAAAGAGGGTTTCAAAACTGCTCCATCAGAAGGATTGTTCAACTCTGTGAGTTGAATGCAGTCATCGCAGAAAACTTTCTGAGAATGCTTCTTTCTAGGTTTGATGTGAAGATATAGACGTTTCAAACGAAGGCTACAAAGTGGTCAAAATATACACTTGCAGATTCTACTACAAGGGTGTTGCAAACCTGAACTATCAAAGGAAGGTTCAACTCTGTGAGTTGAATACAAACATCACAAAGAATGTTCTGAGTTTGCTTCCGTTCAGTTATGGGAAGTTGATCCCGTTTCCAACGAAATCCTCAGAGAGGTCCAAATATCCCCTTGCAGATTCTGCAAAACGTGTGTTTGGAAACTGCTCCATCATAACGAATGTTCAGCTCTCTGAGTTAAACTCCATCGTCACAAAGAATTTTCTGAGAGTGCTACCGTCTAGTTTTATATGAAGTTCTTTCCTTTACTACCACCGGCCTCAAAGCGGTCCAAATCTCCACTTGCAGATTCTACAAAAAGAGTGTTTGCAAACTGCTCTATCAAAAGGAATGTTCAACTCTGGGAGTTGAATGCAATCATCACAGAGCAGTTTCTGAGAATGCTTCTATGTCGTTTTTAGGAGAAGATATTTCCTTTTCCAACACAGTCCTCCAAGCCCGCTAAATATCCACTTGCACATTGTAGAAAAAGTGTGTCGAAGCTGCGCTATCAAAGGGAAAGTTCAACTCTGTGAGGTGAATGCAAACATCCCAAAGAAGTTTCTGAGAATGCTTCCGTTTAGCTTTTAGGTGAAGATTATCCCGTTTCCAACGAAATCTTCAAAGAGGTCCAAATATCCCCTTGCGGATCCCACAGAAAGAGTGTTTCGAAACTGCTGTTTCAAAAGGAATCTTCAACTCTGTGAGTTGAATGCAATCATCACAAAGAAGTTTCTGACAATGCTTCTCTCTCGTCTTTCTGTGAAGATAAAGGAAAAGGCTTTCAGGCCTTTTCCCAACCACAGGCCTGAAAGCGCTCCAAATGTCCACTTGCAGATTCTGCCAAAAGAATATTTCAAAACTGCTCTATGAAAAGCAATGTTAAACTCTGTGGCTCGAACACAAACATCACAAAGCAGTTTCTGAGAATGCTTCAGTTTAGTTTTTCTGTGGAAATATTCCCGTTTCCAAAGAAATCTTCAAAGAGGTCCACGTATCCACTTACAGATTCTACAAAAAGACAGTTTCAAAACTGCTCCATCAAAAGGAGGGTTCAACTGTGTGACTTGAATGCAATCATCACTCAGAAGTTTCTGAGAATGCTTCTCTTTAGTTTTTACGTGAACATATACCCGTTTCGAACGAAGGCCACCCAGTGGTCCAAATATCCACTTGCAGATTCTACAGAAAGAGTGTTTCGAACCTGAACTCTCAAAGGCAGGTTCATCTCTGTTAGTTAAATGCATTCATCATGAAGAACTTTCTCAGAGTGTTTGTGTTTAGTTATGGGAAATTATTCCCGTTTCCAACGAAATCCTCAGAGAGCTCCAAATATCCACCTGCAGATTCTACCAAAAGTGTATTTGGAAACTGCTCCATCAAAAGGCATGTTCAGCTCTGTGAGTGAAACTCCATCATCACAAAGAATATTCTGAGAATGCTTCCGTTTGCCTTTTATCTGAAGTTCCTTCCTATACGACCGTAGGCCTCAATGCAGTCCAAATCTCCATTTGCAGATTCTACAAAAAGAGTGATTCCAATCTGCTCTATCAATAGGATTGTTCAACTCCATGAGTTGAATGCCATCCTCACAAAGTCGTTTCTGAGAATGCTTCTATCTAGTTTTTATGTGAAGATATTTCCTTTTCCACCACAGGCCTCAAAGCCCTCCAAACGTCCACTTGCAGATTCTCGAAAAAGAGTGTTTCATAGCTGCTCTTTCAAAAGGAAAGTTCAACTCTGGGAGTTGAATACAAACATCACAAAGTAGTTTCCGAGAATGCTTCTGTTTAGTTTTTATGTGAAGATGATCCCGTTTCCAGTGAAATCTTCAAAGAGGTCCACATATCCCCTTGCAGATTCCAAAGAAAGAGGGTTTCAAAACTGCTCCATCAGAAGGATTGTTCAACTCTGTGAGTTGAATGCAGTCATCGCAGAAAACTTTCTGAGAATGCTTCTGTCTAGGTTTGATGTGAAGATATAGACGTTTCAAACGAAGGCTACAAAGTGGTCAAAATATACACTTGCAGATTCTACTACAAGGGTGTTGCAAACCTGAACTATCAAAGGAAGGTTCAACTCTGTGAGTTGAATACAAACATCACAAAGAATGTTCTGAGTTTGCTTCCGTTCAGTTATGGGAAGTTGATCCCGTTTCCAACGAAATCCTCAGAGAGGTCCAAATATCCCCTCGCAGATTCTACAAAACGTGTGTTTGGAAACTGCTCCATCATAACGAATGTTCAGCTCCATGAGTTAAACTCCATCGTCACAAAGAATTTTCTGAGAGTGCTACCGTCTGGTTTTTATATGAAGTTCTTTCCTTCACTACCACAGGCCTCAAAGCGGTCCAAATCTCCACTTGCAGATTCTACAAAAAGAGTGTTTGCAAACTGCTCTATCAAAAGGAATGTTCAACTCTGGGAGTTGAATGCAATCATCACAGAGCAGTTTCTGAGAATGCTTCTATGTCGTTTTTAGGAGAAGATATTTCCTTTTCCAACACAGTCCTCCAAGCCCGCTAAATAGCCACTTGCACATTGTAGAAAAAGTGTGTCAAAGCTGCGCTATCAAAGGGAAATTTCAACTCTGTGAGGTGAATGCAAACATCCCAAAGAAGTTTCTGAGAATGCTTCCGTTTAGCTTTTAGGTGAAGATTATCCCGTTTCCAACGAAACCTTCAAAGAGGTCCAAATATCCCCTTGCGGATCCCACAGAAAGAGTGTTTCGAAACTGCTGTTTCAAAAGGAATCTTCAACTCTGTGAGTTGAATGCAATCATCACAAAGAAGTTTCTGACAATGCTTCTCTCTCGTCTTTCTGTGAAGATAAAGGAAAAGGCTTTCAGGCCTTTTCCACCACAGGCCTGAAAGCGCTCCAAATGTCCACTTGCAGATTCTGCGAAAAGAATATTTCAAAACTGCTCTATGAAAAGCAATGTTAAACTCTGTGGCTCGAACACAAACATCACAAAGCAGTTTCTGAGAATGCTTCAGTTTAGTTTTTCTGTGGAAATATTCCCGTTTCCAAAGAAATCTTCAAAGAGGTCCACGCATCCACTTACAGATTCTACAAAAAGACAGTTTCAAAACTGCTCCATCAAAAGGAGGGTTCAACTGTGTGACTTGAATGCAATCATCACTCAGAAGTTTCTGAGAATGCTTCTCTTTAGTTTTTACGTGAACATATACCCGTTTCGAACGAAGGCCACCCAGTGGTCCAAATATCCACTTGCAGATTATACAGAAAGAGTGTTTCGAACCTGAACTCTCAAAGGCAGGTTCATCTCTGCGAGTTAAATGCATTCATCATGAAGAACTTTCTCAGAGTGTTTGTGTTTAGTTATGGGGAATTGTTCCCGTTTCCAACGAAATCCTCAGAGAGCTCCAAATATCCACCTGCAGATTCTACCAAAAGTGTATTTGGAAACTGCTCCATCAAAAGGCATGTTCAGCTCTGTGAGTGAAACTCCATCATCACAAAGAATATTCTGAGAATGCTTCCGTTTGCCTTTTATATGAAGTTCCTTCCTGTACTACCGTAGGCCTCAAAGCAGTCCAAATCTCCATTTGCAGATTCTATAAAAAGAGTGATTCCAATCTGCTCTATCAATAGGATTGTTCAACTCCATGATTTGAATGCCATCCTCACAAAGTAGTTTCTGAGAATGCTTCTATCTGGTTTTTGTGTGAAGATATTTCCTTTTCCACCACAGGCCTCAAAGCCCTCCAAACGTCCACTTGCAGATTCTCGAAAAAGAGTGTTTCATAGCTGCTCTTTCAAAAGGAAAGTTCAACTCTGGGAGTTGAATGCAAACATCACAAAATAGTTTCCGAGAATGCTTCTGTTTAGTTATTATGTGAAGATGATCCCGTTTCCAGTGAAATCTTCAAAGAGGTCCACATATCCCCTTGCAGATTCCAAAGAAAGAGGGTTTCAAAACTGCTCCATCAGAAGGATTGTTCAACTCTGTGAGTTGAATGCAGTCATCGCAGAAAACTTTCTGAGAATGCTTCTGTCTAGGTTTGATGTGAAGATATAGACGTTTCAAACGAAGGCTACAAAGTGGTCAAAATATACACTTGCAGATTCTACTACAAGGGTGTTGCAAACCTGAACTATCAAAGGAAGGTTCAACTCTGTGAATTGAATACAAACATCACAAAGAATGTTCTGAGTTTGCTTCCGTTCAGTTATGGGAAGTTGATCCCGTTTCCAACGAAATCCTCAGAGAGGTCCAAATATCCCCTCGCAGATTCTACAAAACGTGTGTTTGGAAACTGCTCCATCATAACGAATGTTCAGCTCCCTGAGTTAAACTCCATCGTCACAAAGAATTTTCTGAGAGTGCTACCGTCTGGTTTTTATATGAAGTTCTTTCCTTCACTACCACAGGCCTCAAAGCGGTCCAAATCTCCACTTGCAGATTCTACAAAAAGAGTGTTTGCAAACTGCTCTATCAAAAGGAATGTTCAACTCTGGGAGTTGAATGCAATCATCACAGAGCAGTTTCTGAGAATGCTTCTATGTCGTTTTTAGGAGAAGATATTTCCTTTTCCAACACAGTCCTCCAAGCCCGCTAAATAGCCACTTGCACATTGTAGAAAAAGTGTGTCGAAGCTGCGCTATCAAAGGGAAAGTTCAACTCTGTGAGGTGAATGCAAACATCCCAAAGAAGTTTCTGAGAATGCTTCCGTTTAGCTTTTAGGTGAAGATTATCCCGTTTCCAACGAAACCTTCAAAGAGGTCCAAATATCCCCTTGCGGATCCCACAGAAAGAGTGTTTCGAAACTGCTGTTTCAAAAGGAATCTTCAACTACTGTGAGTTGAATGCAATCATCACAAAGAAGTTTCTGACAATGCTTTCTCTCTCGTCTTTCTGTGAAGATAAAGGAAAAGGCTTTCAGGCCTTTTCCCAACCACAGGCCTGAAAGCGCTCCAAATGTCCACTTGCAGATTCTGCCAAAAGAATATTTCAAAACTGCTCTATGAAAAGCAATGTTAAACTCTGTGGCTCGAACACAAACATCACAAAGCAGTTTCTGAGAATGCTTCAGTTTAGTTTTTCTGTGGAAATATTCCCGTTTCCAAAGAAATCTTCAAAGAGGTCCACGTATCCACTTACAGATTCTACAAAAAGACAGTTTCAAAACTGCTCCATCAAAAGGAGGGTTCAACTGTGTGACTTGAATGCAATCATCACTCAGAAGTTTCTGAGAATGCTTCTCTTTAGTTTTTACGTGAACATATACCCGTTTCGAACGAAGGCCACCCAGTGGTCCAAATATCCACTTGCAGATTCTACAGAAAGAGTGTTTCGAACCTGAACTCTCAAAGGCAGGTTCATCTCTGCGAGTTAAATGCATTCATCATGAAGAACTTTCTCAGAGTGTTTGTGTTTAGTTATGGGAAATTATTCCCGTTTCCAACGAAATCCTCAGAGAGCTCCAAATATCCACCTGCAGATTCTACCAAAAGTGTATTTGGAAACTGCTCCATCAAAAGGCATGTTCAGCTCTGTGAGTGAAACTCCATCATCACAAAGAATATTCTGAGAATGCTTCCGTTTGCCTTTTATATGAAGTTCCTTCCTATACGACCGTAGGCCTCAAAGCAGTCCAAATCTCCATTTGCAGATTCTACAAAAAGAGTGATTCCAATCTGCTCTATCAATAGGATTGTTCAACTCCATGAGTTGAATGCCATCCTCACAAAGTAGTTTCTGAGAATGCTTCTATCTAGTTTTTATGTGAAGATATTTCCTTTTCCACCACAGGCCTCAAAGCCCTCCAAACGTCCACTTGCAGATTCTCGAAAAAGAGTGTTTCATAGCTGCTCTTTCAAAAGGAAAGTTCAACTCTGGGAGTTGAATACAAACATCACAAAGTAGTTTCCGAGAATGCTTCTGTTTAGTTTTTATGTGAAGATGATCCCGTTTCCAGTGAAATCTTCAAAGAGGTCCACATATCCCCTTGCAGATTCCAAAGAAAGAGGGTTTCAAAACTGCTCCATCAAAAGGATTGTTCAACTCTGTGAGTTGAATGCAGTCATCGCAGAAAACTTTCTGAGAATGCTTCTGTCTAGGTTTGATGTGAAGATATAGACGTTTCAAATGAAGGCTACAAAGTGGTCAAAATATACACTTGCAGATTCTACTACAAGGGTGTTGCAAACCTGAACTATCAAAGGAAGGTTCAACTCTGTGAGTTGAATACAAACATCACAAAGAATGTTCTGAGTTTGCTTCCGTTCAGTTATGGGAAGTTGATCCCGTTTCCAACGAAATCCTCAGAGAGGTCCAAATATCCCCTTGCAGATTCTACAAAACGTGTGTTTGGAAACTGCTCCATCATAACGAATGTTCAGCTCCCTGAGTTAAACTCCATCGTCACAAAGAATTTTCTGAGAGTGCTACCGTCTGGTTTTTATATGAAGTTCTTTCCTTCACTACCACAGGCCTCAAAGCGGTCCAAATCTCCACTTGCAGATTCTACAAAAAGAGTGTTTGCAAACTGCTCTATCAAAAGGAATGTTCAACTCTGGGAGTTGAATGCAATCATCACAGAGCAGTTTCTGAGAATGCTTCTATGTCGTTTTTAGAAGATATTTCCTTTTCCAACACAGTCCTCCAAGCCCGCTAAATATCCACTTGCACATTGTAGAAAAAGTGTGTCAAAGCTGCGCTATCAAAGGGAAAGTTCAACTCTGTGAGGTGAATGCAAACATCCCAAAGAAGTTTCTGAGAATGCTTCCGTTTAGCTTTTAGGTGAAGATTATCCCGTTTCCAACGAAACCTTCAAAGAGGTCCAAATATCCCCTTGCGGATCCCACAGAAAGAGTGTTTCGAAACTGCTGTTTCAAAAGGAATCTTCAACTCTGTGAGTTGAATGCAATCATCACAAAGAAGTTTCTGACAATGCTTCTCTCTCGTCTTTCTGTGAAGATAAAGGAAAAGGCTTTCAGGCCTTTTCCACCACAGGCCTGAAAGCGCTCCAAATGTCCACTTGTAGATTCTGCCAAAAGAATATTTCAAAACTGCTCTATGAAAAGCAATGTTAAACTCTGTGGCTCGAACACAAACATCACAAAGCAGTTTGCTGAGAATGCTTCAGTTTAGTTTTTCTGTGGAAATATTCCGGTTTCCAAAGAAATCTTCAAAGAGGTCCACGCATCCACTTACAGATTCTACAAAAAGACAGTTTCAAAACTGCTCAATCAAAAGGAGGGTTCAACTGTGTGACTTGAATGCATTCATCACTCAGAAGTTTCTGAGAACGCTTCTCTTTAGTTTTTACGTGAACATATACCCGTTTCGAACGAAGGCCAGCCAGTGGTCCAAATATCCACTTGCAGATTCTACAGAAAGAGTGTTTTGAACCTGAACTCTCAAAGGCAGGTTCATCTCTGCGAGTTAAATGCATTCATCATGAAGAACTTTCTCAGCGTGTTTGTGTTTAGTTATGGGAAATTATTCCCGTTTCCAACGAAATCCTCAGAGAGCTCCAAATATCCACCTGCAGATTCTACCAAAAGTGTATTTGGAAACTGCTCCATCAAAAGGCATGTTCAGCTCTGTGAGTGAAACTACATCATCACAAAGAATATTCTGAGAATGCTTCCGTTTGCCTTTTATATGAAGTTCCTTCCTATACGACCGTAGGCCTCAAAGCAGTCCAAATCTCCATTTGCAGATTCTACAAAAAGAGTGATTCCAATCTGCTCTATCAATAGGACTGTTCAACTCCATGAGTTGAATGCCATCCTCACAAAGTCGTTTCTGAGAATGCTTCTATCTAGTTTTTATGTGAAGATATTTCCTTTTCCACCACAGGCCTCAAAGCCCTCCAAACGTCCACTTGCAGATTCTCGAAAAAGAGTGTTTCATAGCTGCTCTTTCAAAAGGAAAGTTCAACTCTGGGAGTTGAATACAAACATCACAAAGTAGTTTCCGAGAATGCTTCTGTTTAGTTTTTATGTGAAGATGATCCCGTTTCCAGTGAAATCTTCAAAGAGGTCCACATATCCCCTTGCAGATTCCAAAGAAAGAGGGTTTCAAAACTGCTCCATCAGAAGGATTGTTCAACTCTGTGAGTTGAATGCAGTCATCGCAGAAAACTTTCTGAGAATGCTTCTGTCTAGGTTTGATGTGAAGATATAGACGTTTCAAATGAAGGCTACAAAGTGGTCAAAATATACACTTGCAGATTCTACTACAAGGGTGTTGCAAACCTGAACTATCAAAGGAAGGTTCAACTCTGTGAGTTGAATACAAACATCACAAAGAATGTTCTGAGTTTGCTTCCGTTCAGTTATGGGAAGCTGATCCCGTTTCCAACGAAATCCTCAGAGAGGCCCAAATATCCCCTTGCAGATTCTACAAAACGTGTGTTTGGAAACTGCTCCATCATAACGAATGTTCAGCTCCCTGAGTTAAACTCCATCGTCACAAAGAATTTTCTGAGAGTGCTACCGTCTGGTTTTTATATGAAGTTCTTTCCTTCACTACCACTGGCCTCAAAGCGGTCCAAATCTCCACTTGCAGATTCTACAAAAAGAGTGTTTGCAAACTGCTCTATCAAAAGGAATGTTCAACTCTGGGAGTTGAATGCAATCATCACAGAGCAGTTTCTGAGAATGCTTCTATGTCGTTTTTAGGAGAAGATATTTCCTTTTCCAACACAGTCCTCCAAGCCCGCTAAATAGCCACTTGCACATTGTAGAAAAAGTGTGTCAAAGCTGCGCTATCAAAGGGAAAGTTCAACTCTGTGAGGTGAATGCAAACATCCCAAAGAAGTTTCTGAGAATGCTTCCGTTTAGCTTTTAGGTGAAGATTATCCCGTTTCCAACGAAACCTTCAAAGAGGTCCAAATATCCCCTTGCGGATCCCACAGAAAGAGTGTTTCGAAACTGCTGTTTCAAAAGGAATCTTCAACTCTGTGAGTTGAATGCAATCATCACAAAGAAGTTTCTGACAATGCTTCTCTCTCGTCTTTCTGTGAAGATAAAGGAAAAGGCTTTCAGGCCTTTTCCACCACAGGCCTGAAAGCGCTCCAAATGTCCACTTGTAGATTCTGCCAAAAGAATATTTCAAAACTGCTCTATGAAAAGCAATGTTAAACTCTGTGGCTCGAACACAAACATCACAAAGCAGTTTCTGAGAATGCTTCAGTTTAGTTTTTCTGTGGAAATATTCCCGTTTCCAAAGAAATCTTCAAAGAGGTCCACGTATCCACTTACAGATTCTACAAAAAGACAGTTTCAAAACTGCTCCATCAAAAGGAGGGTTCAACTGTGTGACTTGAATGCAATCATCACTCAGAAGTTTCTGAGAATGCTTCTCTTTAGTTTTTACGTGAACATATACCCGTTTTGAACGAAGGCCACCCAGTGGTCCAAATATCCACTTGCAGATTCTACAGAAAGAGTGTTTCGAACCTGAACTCTCAAAGGCAGGTTCATCTCTGCGAGTTAAATGCATTCATCATGAAGAACTTTCTCAGAGTGTTTGTGTTTAGTTATGGGAAATTATTCCCGTTTCCAACGAAATCCTCAGAGAGCTCCAAATATCCACCTGCAGTTTCTACCAAAAGTGTAGTTGGAAACTGCTCCATCAAAAGGCATGTTCAGCTCTGTGAGTGAAACTCCATCATCACAAAGAATATTCTGAGAATGCTTCCGTTTGCCTTTTATATGAAGTTCCTTCCTGTACTACCGTAGGCCTCAAAGCAGTCCAAATCTCCATTTGCAGATTCTATAAAAAGAGTGATTCCAATCTGCTCTATCAATAGGATTGTTCAACTCCATGAGTTGAATGCCATCCTCACAAAGTAGTTTCTGAGAATGCTTCTATCTGGTTTTTGTGTGAAGATATTTCCTTTTCCACCACAGGCCTCAAAGCCCTCCAAACGTCCACTTGCAGATTCTCGAAAAAGAGTGTTTCATAGCTGCTCTTTCAAAAGGAAAGTTCAACTCTGGGAGTTGAATACAAACATCACAAAATAGTTTCTGAGAATGCTTCTGTTTAGTTTTTATATGAAGATGATCCCGTTTCCAGTGAAATCTTCAAAGAGGTCCACATATCCCCTTGCAGATTCCAAAGAAAGAGGGTTTCAAAACTGCTCCATCAGAAGGATTGTTCAACTCTGTGAGTTGAATGCAGTCATCGCAGAAAACTTTCTGAGAATGCTTCTGTCTAGGTTTGATGTGAAGATATAGACGTTTCAAACGAAGGCTACAAAGTGGTCAAAATATACACTTGCAGATTCTACTACAAGGGTGTTGCAAACCTGAACTATCAAAGGAAGGTTCAACTCTGTGAATTGAATACAAACATCACAAAGAATGTTCTGAGTTTGCTTCCGTTCAGTTATGGGAAGTTGATCCCGTTTCCAACGAAATCCTCAGAGAGGTCCAAATATCCCCTCGCAGATTCTACAAAACGTGTGTTTGGAAACTGCTCCATCATAACGAATGTTCAGCTCCCTGAGTTAAACTCCATCGTCACAAAGAATTTTCTGAGAGTGCTACCGTCTGGTTTTTATATGAAGTTCTTTCCTTCACTACCACAGGCCTCAAAGCGGTCCAAATCTCCACTTGCAGATTCTACAAAAAGAGTGTTTGCAAACTGCTCTATCAAAAGGAATGTTCAACTCTGGGAGTTGAATGCAATCATCACAGAGCAGTTTCTGCGAATGCTTCTATGTCGTTTTTAGAAGATATTTCCTTTTCCAACACAGTCCTCCAAGCCCGCTAAATAGCCACTTGCACATTGTAGAAAAAGTGTGTCAAAGCTGCGCTATCAAAGGGAAAGTTCAACTCTGTGAGGTGAATGCAAACATCCCAAAGAAGTTTCTGAGAATGCTTCCGTTTAGCTTTTAGGTGAAGATTATCCCGTTTCCAACGAAACCTTCAAAGAGGTGCAAATATCCCCTTGCGGATCCCACAGAAAGAGTGTTTCGAAACTGCTGTTTCAAAAGGAATCTTCAACTCTGTGAGTTGAATGCAATCATCACAAAGAAGTTTCTGACAATGCTTCTCTCTCGTCTTTCTGTGAAGATAAAGAAAAGGCTTTCAGGCCTTTTCCACCACAGGCCTGAAAGCGCTCCAAATGTCCACTTGCAGATTCTGCGAAAAGAATATTTCAAAACTGCTCTATGAAAAGCAATGTTAAACTCTGTGGCTCGAACACAAACATCACAAAGCAGTTTCTGAGAATGCTTCAGTTTAGTTTTTCTGTGGAAATATTCCCGTTTCCAAAGAAATCTTCAAAGAGGTCCACGTATCCACTTACAGATTCTACAAAAAGACAGTTTCAAAACTGCTCCATCAAAAGGAGGGTTCAACTGTGTGACTTGAATGCAATCATCACTCAGAAGTTTCTGAGAATGCTTCTCTTTAGTTTTTACGTGAACATATACCCGTTTCGAACGAAGGCCACCCAGTGGTCCAAATATCCACTTGCAGATTATACAGAAAGAGTGTTTCGAACCTGAACTCTCAAAGGCAGGTTCATCTCTGCAAGTTAAATGCATTCATCATGAAGAACTTTCTCAGAGTGTTTGTGTTTAGTTATGGGAAATTATTCCCGTTTCCAACGAAATCCTCAGAGAGCTCCAAATATCCACCTGCTGATTCTACCAAAAGTGTATTTGGAAACTGCTCCATCAAAAGGCATGTTCAGGTCTGTGAGTGAAACTCCATCATCACAAAGAATATTCTGAGAATGCTTCCGTTTGCCTTTTATATGAAGTTCCTTCCTATACGACCGTAGGCCTCAAAGCAGTCCAAATCTCCATTTGCAGATTCTACAAAAAGAGTGATTCCAATCTGCTCTATCAATAGGATTGTTCAACTCCATGAGTTGAATGCCATCCTCACAAAGTAGTTTCTGAGAATGCTTCTATCTAGTTTTATGTGAAGATATTTCCTTTTCCACCACAGGCCTCAAAGCCCTCCAAACGTCCACTTGCAGATTCTCGAAAAAGAGTGTTTCATAGCTGCTCTTTCAAAAGGAAAGTTCAACTCTGGGAGTTGAATACAAACATCACAAAGTAGTTTCCGAGAATGCTTCTGTTTAGTTTTTATGTGAAGATGATCCCGTTTCCAGTGAAATCTTCAAAGAGGTCCACATATCCCCTTGCAGATTCCAAAGAAAGAGGGTTTCAAAACTGCTCCATCAGAAGGATTGTTCAACTCTGTGAGTTGAATGCAGTCATCGCAGAAAACTTTCTGAGAATGCTTCTGTCTAGGTTTGATGTGAAGATATAGACGTTTCAAATGAAGGCTACAAAGTGGTCAAAATATACACTTGCAGATTCTACTACAAGGGTGTTGCAAACCTGAACTATCAAAGGAAGGTTCAACTCTGTGAGTTGAATACAAACATCACAAAGAATGTTCTGAGTTTGCTTCCGTTCAGTTATGGGAAGTTGATCCCGTTTCCAACGAAATCCTCAGAGAGGTCCAAATATCCCCTTGCAGATTCTACAAAACGTGTGTTTGGAAACTGCTCCATCATAATGAATGTTCAGCTCCCTGAGTTAAACTCCATCGTCACAAAGAATTTTCTGAGAGTGCTACCGTCTGGTTTTTATATGAAGTTCTTTCCTTCACTACCCCAGGCCTCAAAGCGGTCCAAATCTCCACTTGCAGATTCTACAAAAAGAGAGTTTGCAAACTGCTCTATCAAAAGGAATGTTCAACTCTGGGAGTTGAATGCAATCATCACAGAGCAGTTTCTGAGAATGCTTCTATGTCGTTTTTAGGAGAAGATATTTCCTTTTCCAACACAGTCCTCCAAGCCCGCTAAATAGCCACTTGCACATTGTAGAAAAAGTGTGTCAAAGCTGCGCTATCAAAGGGAAAGTTCAACTCTGTGAGGTGAATGCAAACATCCCAAAGAAGTTTCTGAGAATGCTTCCGTTTAGCTTTTAGGTGAAGATTATCCCGTTTCCAACGAAACCTTCCAAGAGGTCCAAATATCCCCTTGCGGATCCCACAGAAAGAGTGTTTCGAAACTGCTGTTTCAAAAGGAATCTTCAACTCTGTGAGTTGAATGCAATCATCACAAAGAAGTTTCTGACAATGCTTCTCTCTCGTCTTTCTGTGAAGATAAAGGAAAAGGCTTTCAGGCCTTTTCCACCACAGGCCTGAAAGCGCTCCAAATGTCCACTTGCAGATTCTGCGAAAAGAATATTTCAAAACTGCTCTATGAAAAGCAATGTTAAACTCTGTGGCTCGAACACAAACATCACAAAGCAGTTTCTGAGAATGATTCAGTTTAGTTTTTCTGTGGAAATATTCCCGTTTCCAAAGAAATCTTCAAAGAGGTCCACGTATCCACTTACAGATTCTACAAAAAGACAGTTTCAAAACTGCTCCATCAAAAGGAGGGTTCAACTGTGTGACTTGAATGCAATCATCACTCAGAAGTTTCTGAGAATGCTTCTCTTTAGTTTTTACGTGAACATATACCCGTTTCGAACGAAGGCCACCCAGTGGTCCAAATATCCACTTGCAGATTCTACAGAAAGAGTGTTTCGAACATGAACTCTCAAAGGCAGGTTCATCTCTGCGAGTTAAATGCATTCATCATGAAGAACTTTCTCAGAGTGTTTGTGTTTAGTTATGGGAAATTATTCCCGTTTCCAACGAAATCCTCAGAGAGCTCCAAATATCCACCTGCAGATTCTACCAAAAGTGTATTTGGAAACTGCTCCATCAAAAGGCATGTTCCGCTCTGTGAGTGAAACTCCATCATCACAAAGAATATTCTGAGAATGCTTCTATCTAGTTTTTATGTGAAGATATTTCCTTTTCCACCACAGGCCTCAAAGCCCTCCAAACGTCCACTTGCAGATTCTCGAAAAAGAGTGTTTCATAGCTGCTCTTTCAAAAGGAAAGTTCAACTCTGGGAGTTGAATACAAACATCACAAAGTAGTTTCCGAGAATGCTTCTGTTTAGTTTTTATGTGAAGATGATCCCGTTTCCAGTGAAATCTTCAAAGAGGTCCACATATCCCCCTGCAGATTGCAAAGAAAGAGGGTTTCAAAACTGCTCCATCAAAAGGATTGTTCAACTCTGTGAGTTGAATGCAGTCATCGCAGAAAACTTTCTGAGAATGCTTCTGTCTAGGTTTGATGTGAAGATATAGACGTTTCAAATGAAGGCTACAAAGTGGTCAAAATATACACTTGCAGATTCTACTACAAGGGTGTTGCAAACCTGAACTATCAAAGGAAGGTTCAACTCTGTGAGTTGAATACAAACATCACAAAGAATGTTCTGAGTTTGCTTCCGTTCAGTTATGGGAAGTTGATCCCGTTTCCAACGAAATCCTCAGAGAGGTCCAAATATCCCCTTGCAGATTCTACAAAACGTGTGTTTGGAAACTGCTCCATCATAACGAATGTTCAGCTCCCTGAGTTAAACTCCATCGTCACAAAGAATTTTCTGAGAGTGCTACCGTCTGGTTTTTATATGAAGTTCTTTCCTTCACTACCACAGGCCTCAAAGCGGTCCAAATCTCCACTTGCAGATTCTACAAAAAGAGTGTTTGCAAACTGCTCTATCAAAAGGAATGTTCAACTCTGGGAGTTGAATGCAATCATCACAGAGCAGTTTCTGAGAATGCTTCTATGTCGTTTTTAGGAGAAGATATTTCCTTTTCCAACACAGTCCTCCAAGCCCGCTAAATAGCCACTTGCACATTGTAGAAAAAGTGTGTCAAAGCTGCGCTATCAAAGGGAAAGTTCAACTCTGTGAGGTGAATGCAAACATCCCAAAGAAGTTTCTGAGAACGCTTCCGTTTAGCTTTTAGGTGAAGATTATCCCGTTTCCAACGAAACCTTCAAAGAGGTCCAAATATCCCCTTGCGGATCCCACAGAAAGAGTGTTTCGAAACTGCTGTTTCAAAAGGAATCTTCAACTCTGTGAGTTGAATGCAATCATCACAAAGAAGTTTCTGACAATGCTTCTCTCTCGTCTTTCTGAGAAGATAAAGGAAAAGGCTTTCAGGCCTTTTCCACCACAGGCCTGAAAGCGCTCCAAATGTCCACTTGCAGATTCTGCGAAAAGAATATTTCAAAACTGCTCTATGAAAAGCAATGTTAAACTCTGTGGCTCGAACACAAACATCACAAAGCGGTTTCTGAGAATGCTTCAGTTTAGTTTTTCTGTGGAAATATTCCCGTTTCCAAAGAAATCTTCAAAGAGGTCCACGTATCCACTTACAGATTCTACAAAAAGACAGTTTCAAAACTGCTCCATCAAAAGGAGGGTTCAACCGTGTGACTTGAATGCAATCATCACTCAGAAGTTTCTGAGAATGCTTCTCTTTAGTTTTTACGTGAACATATACCCGTTTCGAACGAAGGCCACCCAGTGGTCCAAATATCCACTTGCAGATTATACAGAAAGAGTGTTTCGAACCTGAACTCTCAAAGGCAGGTTCATCTCTGCGAGTTAAATGCATTCATCATGAAGAACTTTCTCAGAGTGTTTGTGTTTAGTTATGGGAAATTATTCCCGTTTCCAACGAAATCCTCAGAGAGCTCCAAATATCCACCTGCAGATTCTACCAAAAGTGTATTTGGAAACTGCTCCATCAAAAGGCATGTTCAGCTCTGTGAGTGAAACTCCATCATCACAAAGAATATTCTGAGAATGCTTCCGTTTGCCTTTTATATGAAGTTCCTTCCTGTACTACCGTAGGCCTCAAAGCAGTCCAAATCTCCATTTGCAGATTCTATAAAAAGAGTGATTCCAATCTGCTCTATCAATAGGATTGTTCAACTCCATGAGTTGAATGCCATCCTCACAAAGTAGTTTCTGAGAATGCTTCTATCTGGTTTTTGTGTGAAGATATTTCCTTTTCCACCACAGGCCTCAAAGCCCTCCAAACGTCCACTTGCAGATTCTCGAAAAAGAGTGTTTCATAGCTGCTCTTTCAAAAGGAAAGTTCAACTCTGGGAGTTGAATACAAACATCACAAAATAGTTTCCGAGAATGCTTCTGTTTAGTTTTTATGTGAAGATGATCCCGTTTCCAGTGAAATCTTCAAAGAGGTCCACATATCCCCTTGCAGATTCCAAAGAAAGAGGGTTTCAAAACTGCTCCATCAGAGGATTGTTCAACTCTGTGAGTTGAATGCAGTCATCGCAGAAAACTTTCTGAGAATGCTTCTGTCTAGGTTTGATGTGAAGATATAGACGTTTCAAACGAAGGCTACAAAGTGGTCAAAATATACACTTGCAGATTCTACTACAAGGGTGTTGCAAACCTGAACTATCAAAGGAAGGTTCAACTGTGTGAGTTGAATACAAACATCACAAAGAATGTTCTGAGTTTGCTTCCGTTCAGTTATGGGAAGTTGATCCCGTTTCCAACGAAATCCTCAGAGAGGTCCAAATATCCCCTCGCAGATTCTACAAAACGTGTGTTTGGAAACTGCTCCATCATAACGAATGTTCAGCTCCCTGAGTTAAACTCCATCGTCACAAAGAATTTTCTGAGAGTGCTACCGTCTGGTTTTTATATGAAGTTCTTTCCTTCACTACCACAGGCCTCAAAGCGGTCCAAATCTCCACTTGCAGATTCTACAAAAAGAGTGTTTGCAAACTGCTCTATCAAAAGGAATGTTCAACTCTGGGAGTTGAATGCAATCATCACAGAGCAGTTTCTGAGAATGCTTCTATGTCGTTTTTAGGAGAAGATATTTCCTTTTCCAACACAGTCCTCCAAGCCCGCTAAATAGCCACTTGCACATTGTAGAAAAAGTGTGTCAAAGCTGCGCTATCAAAGGGAAAGTTCAACTCTGTGAGGTGAATGCAAACATCCCAAAGAAGTTTGCTGAGAATGCTTCCGTTTAGCTTTTAGGTGAAGATTATCCCGTTTCCAACGAAACCTTCAAAGTAGGTCCAAATATCCCCTTGCGGATCCCACAGAAAGAGTGTTTCGAAACTGCTGTTTCAAAAGGAATCTTCAACTCTGTGAGTTGAATGCAATCATCACAAAGAAGTTTCTGACAATGCTTCTCTCTCGTCTTTCTGTGAAGATAAAGGAAAAGGCTTTCAGGCCTTTTCCACCACAGGCCTGAAAGCGCTCCAAATGTCCACTTGCAGATTCTGCGAAAAGAATATTTCAAAACTGCTCTATGAAAAGCAATGTTAAACTCTGTGGCTCGAACACAAACATCACAAAGCAGTTTCTGAGAATGCTTCAGTTTAGTTTTTCTGTGGAAATATTCCCGTTTCCAAAGAAATCTTCAAAGAGGTCCACGTATCCACTTACAGATTCTACAAAAAGACAGTTTCAAAACTGCTCCATCAAAAGGAGGGTTCAACTGTGTGACTTGAATGCAATCATCACTCAGAAGTTTCTGAGAATGCTTCTCTTTAGTTTTTACGTGAACATATACCCGTTTCGAACGAAGGCCACCCAGTGGTCCAAATATCCACTTGCAGATTATACAGAAAGAGTGTTTCGAACCTGAACTCTCAAAGGCAGGTTCATCTCTGCGAGTTAAATGCATTCATCATGAAGAACTTTCTCAGAGTGTTTGTGTTTAGTTATGGGAAATTATTCCCGTTTCCAACGAAATCCTCAGAGAGCTCCAAATATCCACCTGCAGATTCTACCAAAAGTGTATTTGGAAACTGCTCCATCAACAGGCATGTTCAGCTCTGTGAGTGAAACTCCATCATCACAAAGAATATTCTGAGAATGCTTCCGTTTGCCTTTTATATGAAGTTCCTTCCTATACGACCGTAGGCCTCAAAGCAGTGCAAATCTCCATTTGCAGATTCTACAAAAAGAGTGATTCCAATCTGCTCTATCAATAGGATTGTTCAACTCCATGAGTTGAATGCCATCCTCACAAAGTCGTTTCTGAGAATGCTTCTATCTAGTTTTTATGTGAAGATATTTCCTTTTCCACCACAGGCCTCAAAGCCCTCCAAACGTCCACTTGCAGATTCTCGAAAAAGAGTGTTTCATAGCTGCTCTTTCAAAAGGAAAGTTCAACTCTGGGAGTTGAATACAAACATCACAAAGTAGTTTCCGAGAATGCTTCTGTTTAGTTTTTATGTGAAGATGATCCCGTTTCCAGTGAAATCTTCAAAGAGGTCCACATATCCCCTTGCAGATTCCAAAGAAAGAGGGTTTCAAAACTGCTCCATCAATAGGATTGTTCAACTCTGTGAGTTGAATGCAGTCATCGCAGAAAACTTTCTGAGAATGCTTCTGTCTAGGTTTGATGTGAAGATATAGACGTTTCAAACGAAGGCTACAAAGTGGTCAAAATATACACTTGCAGATTCTACTACAAGGGTGTTGCAAACCTGAACTATCAAAGGAAGGTTCAACTCTGTGAGTTGAATACAAACATCACAAAGAATGTTCTGAGTTTGCTTCCGTTCAGTTATGGGAAGTTGATCCCGTTTCCAACGAAATCCTCAGAGAGGTCCAAATATCCCCTTGCAGATTCTACAAAACGTGTTTTTGGAAACTGCTCCATCATAACGAATGTTCAGCTCCCTGAGTTAAACTCCATCGTCACAAAGAATTTTCTGAGAGTGCTACCGTCTGGTTTTTATATGAAGCTCTTTCCTTCACTACCACAGGCCTCAAAGCGGTCCAAATCTCCACTTGCAGATTCTACAAAAAGAGTGTTTGCAAACTGCTCTATCAAAAGGAATGTTCAACTCTGGGAGTTGAATGCAATCATCACAGAGCAGTTTCTGAGAATGCTTCTATGTCGTTTTTAGGAGAAGATATTTCCTTTTCCAACACAGTCCTCCAAGCCTGCTAAATAGCCACTTGCACATTGTAGAAAACGTGTGTCAAAGCTGCGCTATCAAAGGGAAAGTTCAACTCTGTGAGGTGAATGCAAACATCCCAAAGAAGTTTCTGAGAATGCTTCCGTTTAGCTTTTAGGTGAAGATTATCCCGTTTCCAACGAAACCTTCAAAGAGGTCCAAATATCCCCTTGCAGATCCCACAGAAAGAGTGTTTCGAAACTGCTGTTTCAAAAGGAATCTTCAACTCTGTGAGTTGAATGCAATCATCACAAAGAAGTTTCTGACAATGCTTCTCTCTCGTCTTTCTGTGAAGATAAAGGAAAAGGCTTTCAGGCCTTTTCCACCACAGGCCTGAAAGCGCTCCAAATGTCCACTTGCAGATTCTGCCAAAAGAATATTTCAAAACTGCTCTATGAAAAGCAATGTTAAACTCTGTGGCTCGAACACAAACATCACAAAGCGGTTTCTGAGAATGCTTCAGTTTAGTTTTTCTGTGGAAATATTCCCGTTTCCAAAGAAATCTTCAAAGAGGTCCACGTATCCACTTACAGATTCTACAAAAAGACAGTTTCAAAACTGCTCCATCAAAAGGAGGGTTCTACTGTGTGACTTGAATGCAATCATCACTCACAAGTTTCTGAGAATGCTTCTCTTTAGTTTTTACGTGAACATATACCCGTTTCGAACGAAGGCCACCCAGTGGTCCAAATATCCACTTGCAGATTCTACAGAAAGAGTGTTTCGAACCTGAACTCTCAAAGGCAGGTTCATCTCTGCGAGTTAAATGCATTCATCATGAAGAACTTTCTCAGAGTGTTTGTGTTTAGTTATGGGAAATTATTCCCGTTTCCAACGAAATCCTCAGAGAGCTCCAAATATCCACCTGCAGATTCTACCAAAAGTGTATTTGGAAACTGCTCCATCAAAAGGCATGTTCAGCTCTGTGAGTGAAACTCCATCATCACAAAGAATATTCTGAGAATGCTTCCGTTTGCCTTTTATATGAAGTTCCTTCCTATACTACCGTAGGCCTCAAAGCAGTCCAAATCTCCATTTGCAGATTCTACAAAAAGAGTGATTCCAATCTGCTCTATCAATAGGATTGTTCAACTCCATGAGTTGAATGCCATCCTCACAAAGTCGTTTCTGAGAATGCTTCTATCTAGTTTTTATGTGAAGATATTTCCTTTTCCACCACAGGCCTCAAAGCCCTCCAAACGTCCACTTGCAGATTCTCGAAAAAGAGTGTTTCATAGCTGCTCTTTCAAAAGGAAAGTTCAACTCTGGGAGTTGAATACAAACATCACAAAGTAGTTTCCGAGAATGCTTCTGTTTAGTTCTTATGTGAAGATGATCCCGTTTCCAGTGAAATCTTCAAAGAGGTCCACATATCCCCTTGCAGATTCCAAAGAAAGAGGGTTTCAAAACTGCTCCATCAAAAGGATTGTTCAACTCTGTGAGTTGAATGCAGTCATCGCAGAAAACTTTCTGAGAATGCTTCTGTCTAGGTTTGATGTGAAGATATAGACGTTTCAAACGAAGGCTACAAAGTGGTCAAAATATACACTTGCAGATTCTACTACAAGGGTGTTGCAAACCTGAACTATCAAAGGAAGGTTCAACTCTGTGAGTTGAATACAAACATCACAAAGAATGTTCTGAGTTTGCTTCCGTTCAGTTATGGGAAGTTGATCCCGTTTCCAACGAAATCCTCAGAGAGGTCCAAATATCCCCTCACAGATTCTACAAAACGTGTGTTTGGAAACTGCTCCATCATAACGAATGTTCAGCTCCGTGAGTTAAACTCCATCGTCACAAAGAATTTTCTGAGAGTGCTACCGTCTGGTTTTTATATGAAGTTCTTTCCTTCACTACCACAGGCCTCAAAGCGGTCCAAATCTCCACTTGCAGATTCTACAAAAAGAGTGTTTGCAAACTGCTCTATCAAAAGGAATGTTCAACTCTGGGAGTTGAATGCAATCATCACAGAGCAGTTTCTGAGAATGCTTCTATGTCGTTTTTAGGAGAAGATATTTCCTTTTCCAACACAGTCCTCCAAGCCCGCTAAATAGCCACTTGCACATTGTAGAAAAAGTGTGTCAAAGCTGCGCTATCAAAGGGAAAGTTCAACTCTGTGAGGTGAATGCAAACATCCCAAAGAAGTTTCTGAGAATGCTTCCGTTTAGCTTTTAGGTGAAGATTATCCCGTTTCCAACGAAACCTTCAAAGAGGTCCAAATATCCCCTTGCGGATCCCACAGAAAGAGTGTTTCGAAACTGCTGTTTCAAAAGGAATCTTCAACTCTGTGAGTTGAATGCAATCATCACAAAGAAGTTTCTGACAATGCTTCTCTCTCGTCTTTCTGTGAAGATAAAGGAAAAGGCTTTCAGGCCTTTTCCACCACAGGCCTGAAAGCGCTCCAAATGTCCACTTGCAGATTCTGTGAAAAGAATATTTCAAAACTGCTCTATGAAAAGCAATGTTAAACTCTGTGGCTCGAACACAAACATCACAAAGCAGTTTCTGAGAATGCTTCAGTTTAGTTTTTCCGTGGAAATATTCCCGTTTCCAAAGAAATCTTCAAAGAGGTCCACGTATCCACTTACAGATTCTACAAAAAGACAGTTTCAAAACTGCTCCATCAAAAGGAGGGTTCAACTATGTGACTTGAATGCAATCATCACTCAGAAGTTTCTGAGAATGCTTCTTTTTAGTTTTTATGTGAACATATACCCGTTTCGAACGAAGGCCACCCAGTGGTCCAAATATCCACTTGCAGATTCTACAGAAAGAGTGTTTCGAACCTGAACTCTCAAAGGCAGGTTCATCTCTGCGAGTTAAATGCATTCATCATGAAGAACTTTCTCAGAGTGTTTGTGTTTAGTTATGGGAAATTATTCCCGTTTCCAACGAAATCCTCAGAGAGCTCCAAATATCCACCTGCAGATTCTACCAAAAGTGTATTTGGAAACTGCTCCATCAAAAGGCATGTTCAGCTCTGTGAGTGAAACTCCATCATCACAAAGAATATTCTGAGAATGCTTCCGTTTGCCTTTTATATGAAGTTCCTTCCTATACTACCGTAGGCCTCAAAGCAGTCCAAATCTCCATTTGCAGATTCTACAAAAAGAGTGATTCCAATCTGCTCTATCAATAGGATTGTTCAACTCCATGAGTTGAATTCCATCCTCACAATGTCGTTTGTGAGAATGCTTCTATCTAGTTTTTATGTGAAGATATTTCCTTTTCCACCACAGGCCTCAAAGCCCTCCAAACGTCCACTTGCAGATTCTCGAAAAAGAGTGTTTCATAGCTGCTCTTTCAAAAGGAAAGTTCAACTCTGGGAGTTGAATACAAACATCCCAAAGTAGTTTCCGAGAATGCTTATATTTAGTTTTTATGTGAAGATGATCCCGTTTCCAGTGAAATCTTCAAAGAGGTCCACATATCCCCTTGCAGATTCCAAAGAAAGAGGGTTTCAAAACTGCTCCATCAGAAGGATTGTTCAACTCTGTGAGTTGAATGCAGTCATCGCAGAAAACTTTCTAAGAATGCTTCTGTCTAGGTTTGATGTGAAGATATAGACGTTTCAAACGAAGGCTACAAAGTGGTCAAAATATACACTTGCAGATTCTACTACAAGGGTGTTGCAAACCTGAACTATCAAAGGAAGGTTCAACTCTGTGAGTTGAATACAAACATCACAAAGAATGTTCTGAGTTTGCTTCCGTTCAGTTATGGGAAGTTGATCCCGTTTCCAACGAAATCCTCAGAGAGGTCCAAATATCCCCTCGCAGATTCTACAAAACGTGTGTTTGGAAACTGCTCCATCATAACGAATGTTCAGCTCACTGAGTTAAACTCCATCGTCACAAAGAATTTTCTGAGAGTGCTACCGTCTGGTTTTTATATGAAGCTCTTTCCTTCACTACCACAGGCCTCAAAGCGGTCCAAATCTCCACTTGCAGATTCTACAAAAAGAGTGTTTGCAAACTGCTCTATCAAAAGGAATGTTCAACTCTGGGAGTTGAATGCAATCATCACAGAGCAGTTTCTGAGAATGCTTCTATGTCGTTTTTAGGAGAAGATATTTCCTTTTCCAACACAGTCCTCCAAGCCCGCTAAATAGCCACTTGCACATTTTAGAAAACGTGTGTCAAAGCTGCGCTATCAAAGGGAAAGTTCAACTCTGTGAGGTGAATGCAAACATCCCAAAGAAGTTTCTGAGAATGCTTCCGTTTAGCTTTTAGGTGAAGATTATCCCGTTTCCAACGAAACCTTCAAAGAGGTCCAAATATCCCCTTGCGGATCCCACAGAAAGAGTGTTTCGAAACTGCTGTTTCAAAAGGAATCTTCAACTCTGTGAGTTGAATGCAATCATCACAAAGAAGTTTCTGACAATGCTTCTCTCTCGTCTTTCTGTGAAGATAAAGGAAAAGGCTTTCAGGCCTTTTCCACCACAGGCCTGAAAGCGCTCCAAATGTCCACTTGCAGATTCTGCCAAAAGAATATTTCAAAACTGCTCTATGAAAAGCAATGTTAAACTCTGTGGCTCGAACACAAACATCACAAAGCGGTTTCTGAGAATGCTTCAGTTTAGTTTTTCTGTGGAAATATTCCCGTTTCCAAAGAAATCTTCAAAGAGGTCCACGTATCCACTTACAGATTCTACAAAAAGACAGTTTCAAAACTGCTCCATCAAAAGGAGGGTTCAACTGTGTGACTTGAATGCAATCATCACTCAGAAGTTTCTGAGAATGCTTCTCTTTAGTTTTTACGTGAACATATACCCGTTTCGAACGAAGGCCAGCCAGTGGTCCAAATATCCACTTGCAGATTCTACAGAAAGAGTGTTTCGAACCTGAACTCTCAAAGGCAGGTTCATCTCTGCGAGTTAAATGCATTCATCATGAAGAACTTTCTCAGAGTGTTTGTGTTTAGTTATGGGAAATTATTCCCGTTTCCAACGAAATCCTCAGAGAGCTCCAAATATCCACCTGCAGATTCTACCAAAAGTGTATTTGGAAACTGCTCCATCAAAAGGCATGTTCAGCTCTGTGAGTGAAACTCCATCATCACAAAGAATATTCTGAGAATGCTTCCGTTTGCCTTTTATATGAAGTTCCTTCCTATACTACCGTAGGCCTCAAAGCAGTCCAAATCTCCATTTGCAGATTCTACAAAAAGAGTGATTCCAATCTGCTCTATCAATAGGATTGTTCAACTCCATGAGTTGAATGCCATCCTCACAAAGTCGTTTCTGAGAATGCTTCTATCTGGTTTTTGTGTGAAGATATTTCCTTTTCCACCACAGGCCTCAAAGCCCTCCAAACGTCCACTTGCAGATTCTCGAAAAAGAGTGTTTCATAGCTGCTCTTTCAAAAGGAAAGTTCAACTCTGGGAGTTGAATACAAACATCACAAAGAATGTTCTGAGTTTGCTTCCGTTCAGTTATGGGAAGTTGATCCCGTTTCCAACGAAATCCTCAGAGAGGTCCAAATATCCCCTTGCAGATTCTACAAAACGTGTGTTTGGAAACTGCTCCATCATAACGAATGTTCAGCTCCCTGAGTTAAACTCCATCGTCACAAAGAATTTTCTGAGAGTGCTACCGTCTGGTTTTTATATGAAGCTTTTTCCTTTACTACCCCAGTCCTCAAAGCGGTCCAAATCTCCACTTGCAGATTCTACAAAAAGAGTGTTTGCAAACTGCTCTATCAAAAGGAATGTTCAACTCTGGGAGTTGAATGCAATCATCACAGAGCAGTTTCTGAGAATGCTTCTATGTCGTTTTTAGGAGAAGATATTTCCTTTTCCAACACAGTCCTCCAAGCCCGCTAAATAGCCACTTGCACATTGTAGAAAAAGTGTGTCAAAGCTGCGCTATCAAAGGGAAAGTTCAACTCTGAGAGGTGAATGCAAACATCCCAAAGAAGTTTCTGAGAGTGCTTCCGTTTAGCTTTTAGGTGAAGATTATCCCGTTTCCAACGAAACCTTCAAAGAGGTCCAAATATCCCCTTGCGGATCCCACAGAAAGAGTGTTTCGAAACTGCTGTTTCAAAAGGAATCTTCAACTCTGTGAGTTGAATGCAATCATCACAAAGAAGTTTCTGACAATGCTTCTCTCTCGTCTTCCTGTGAAGATAAAGGAAAAGGCTTTCAGGCCTTTTCCACCACAGGCCTGAAAGCGCTCCAAATGTCCACTTGCAGATTCTGCCAAAAGAATATTTCAAAACTGCTCTATGAAAAGCAATGTTAAACTCTGTGGCTCGAACACAAACATCACAAAGCAGTTTCTGAGAATGCTTCAGTTTAGTTTTTCTGTGGAAATATTCCCGTTTCGAAAGAAATCTTCAAAGAGGTCCACGTATCCACTTACAGATTCTACAAAAAGACAGTTTCAAAACTGCTCCATCAAAAGGAGGGTTCAACTGTGTGACTTGAATGCAATCATCACTCAGAAGTTTCTGAGAATGCTTCTCTTTAGTTTTTACGTGAACATATACCCGTTTCGAACGAAGGCCACCCAGTGGTCCAAATATCCACTTGCAGATTCTACAGAAAGAGTGTTTCGAACCTGAACTCTCAAAGGCAGGTTCATCTCTGCGAGTTAAATGCATTCATCATGAAGAACTTTCTCAGAGTGTTTGTGTTTAGTTATGGGAAATTATTCCCGTTTCCAACGAAATCCTCAGAGAGCTCCAAATATCCACCTGCAGATTCTACCAAAAGTGTATTTGGAAACTGCTCCATCAAAAGGCATGTTCAGCTCTGTGAGTGAAACTCCATCATCACAAAGAATATTCTGAGAATGCTTCCGTTTGCCTTTTATATGAAGTTCCTTCCAATACGACCGTAGGCCTCAAAGCAGTCCAAATCTCCATTTGCAGATTCTACAAAAAGAGTGATTCCAATCTGCTCTATCAATAGGATTGTTCAACTCCATGAGTTGAATGCCATCCTCACAAAGTCGTTTCTGAGAATGCTTCTATCTAGTTTTTATGTGAAGATATTTCCTTTTCCACCACAGGCCTCAAAGCCCTCCAAACGTCCACTTGCAGATTCTCGAAAAAGAGTGTTTCATAGCTGCTCTTTCAAAAGGAAAGTTCAACTCTGGAAGTTGAATACAAACATCACAAAGTAGTTTCCGAGAATGCTTCTGTTTAGTTTTTATGTGAAGATGATCCCGTTTCCAGTGAAATCTTCAAAGAGGTCCACATATCCCCTTGCAGATTCCAAAGAAAGAGGGTTTCAAAACTGCTCCATCAGAAGGATTGTTCAACTCTGTGAGTTGAATGCAGTCATCGCAGAAAACTTTCTGAGAATGCTTCTGTCTAGGTTTGATGTGAAGATATAGACGTTTCAAACGAAGGCTACAAAGTGGTCAAAATATACACTTGCAGATTCTACTACAAGGGTGTTGCAAACCTGAACTATCAAAGGAAGGTTCAACTCTGTGAGTTGAATACAAACATCACAAAGAATGTTCTGAGTTTGCTTCCGTTCAGTTATGGGAAGTTGATCCCGTTTCCAACGAAATCCTCAGAGAGGTCCAAATATCCCCTTGCAGATTCTACAAAACGTGTGTTTGGAAATTGCTCCATCATAACGAATGTTCAGCTCCCTGAGTTAAACTCCATGGTCACAAAGAATTTTCTGAGAGTGCTACCGTCTGGTTTTTATATGAAGTTCTTTCCTTCACTACCACAGACCTCAAAGCGGTGCAAATCTCCACTTGCAGATTCTACAAAAAGAGTGTTTGCAAACTGCTCTATCAAAAGGAATGTTCAACTCTGGGAGTTGAATGCAATCATCACAGAGCAGTTTCTGAGAATGCTTCTATGTCGTTTTTAGGAGAAGATATTTCCTTTTCCAACACAGTCCTCCAAGCCCGCTAAATAGCCACTTGCACATTGTAGAAAAAGTGTGTCAAAGCTGCGCTATCAAAGGGAAAGTTCAACTCTGTGAGGTGAATGCAAACATCCCAAAGAAGTTTCTGAGAATGCTTCCGTTTAGCTTTTAGGTGAAGATTATCCCGTTTCCAACGAAACCTTCAAAGAGGTCCAAATATCCCCTTGCGGATCCCACAGAAAGAGTGTTTCGAAACTGATGTTTCAAAAGGAATCTTCAACTCTGTGAGTTGAATGCAATCATCACAAAGAAGTTTCTGACAATGCTTCTCTCTCGTCTTTCTGTGAAGATAAAGGAAAAGGCTTTCAGGCCTTTTCCACCACAGGCCTGAAAGCGCTCCAAATGTCCACTTGCAGATTCTGCCAAAAGAATATTTCAAAACTGCTCTATGAAAAGCAATGTTAAACTCTGTGGCTGGAACACAAACATCACAAAGCGGTTTCTGAGAATGTTTCAGTTTAGTTTTTCTGTGGAAATATTCCCGTTTCCAAAGAAATCTTCAAAGAGGTCCACGTATCCACTTACAGATTCTACAAAAAGACAGTTTCAAAACTGCTCCATCAAAAGGAGGGTTCAACTGTGTGACTTGAATGCAATCATCACTCAGAAGTTTCTGAGAATGCTTCTCTTTAGTTTTTACGTGAACATATACCCGTTTCGAACGAAGGCCACCCAGTGGTCCAAATATCCACTTGCAGATTATACAGAAAGAGTGTTTCGAACCTGAACTCTCAAAGGCAGGTTCATCTCTGCGAGTTAAATGCATTCATCATGAAGAACTTTCTCAGAGTGTTTGTGTTTAGTTATGGGAAATTATTCCCGTTTCCAACGAAATCCTCAGAGAGCTCCAAATATCCACCTGCAGATTCTACCAAAAGTGTATTTGGAAACTGCTCCATCAAAAGGCATGTTCAGCTCTGTGAGTAAAACTCCATCATCACAAAGAATATTCTGAGAATGCTTCCGTTTGCCTTTTATATGAAGTTCCTTCCTGTACTACCGTAGGCCTCAAAGCAGACCAAATCTCCATTTGCAGATTCTACAAAAAGAGTGATTCCAATCTGCTCTATCAATAGGATTGTTCAACTCCATGAGTTGAATGCCATCCTCACAAAGTAGTTTCTGAGAATGCTTCTATCTGGTTTTTGTGTGAAGATATTTCCTTTTCCACCACAGGCCTCAAAGCCCTCCAAACGTCCACTTGCAGATTCTCGAAAAAGAGTGTTTCATAGCTGCTCTTTCAAAAGGAAAGTTCAACTCTGGGAGTTGAATGCAAACATCACAAAATAGTTTCCGAGAATGCTTCTGTTTAGTTTTTATGTGAAGATGATCCCGTTTCCAGTGAAATCTTCAAAGAGGTCCACATATCCCCTTGCAGATTCCAAAGAAAGAGGGTTTCAAAACTGCTCCATCAGAAGGATTGTTCAACTCTGTGAGTTGAATGCAGTCATCGCAGAAAACTTTCTGAGAATGCTTCTGTCTAGGTTTGATGTGAAGATATAGACGTTTCAAATGAAGGCTACAAAGTGGTCAAAATATACACTTGCAGATTCTACTACAAGGGTGTTGCAAACCTGAACTATCAAAGGAAGGTTCAACTCTGTGAGTTGAATACAAACATCACAAAGAATGTTCTGAGTTTGCTTCCGTTCAGTTATGGGAAGTTGATCCCGTTTCCAACGAAATCCTCAGAGAGGTCCAAATATCCCCTTGCAGATTCTACAAAACGTGTGTTTGGAAACTGCTCCATCATAACGAATGTTCAGCTCCCTGAGTTAAACTCCATCGTCACAAAGAATTTTCTGAGAGTGCTTCTATGTCGTTTTTAGGAGAAGATATTTCCTTTTCCAACACAGTCCTCCAAGCCCGCTAAATAGCCACTTGCACATTGTAGAAAAAGTGTGTCAAAGCTGCGCTATCAAAGGGAAAGTTCAACTCTGTGAGGTGAATGCAAACATCCCAAAGAAGTTTCTGAGAATGCTTCCGTTTAGCTTTTAGGTGAAGATTATCCCGTTTCCAACGAAACCTTCAAAGAGGTCCAAATATCCCCTTGCGGATCCCACAGAAAGAGTGTTTCGAAACTGCTGTTTCAAAAGGAATCTTCAACTCTGTGAGTTGAATGCAATCATCACAAAGAAGTTTCTGACAATGCTTCTCTCTCGTCTTTCTGTGAAGATAAAGGAAAAGGCTTTCAGGCCTTTTCCACCACAGGCCTGAAAGCGCTCCAAATGTCCACTTGCAGATTCTGCCAAAAGAATATTTCAAAACTGCTCTATGAAAAGCAATGTTAAACTCTGTGGCTCGAACACAAACATCACAAAGCGGTTTCTGAGAATGCTTCAGTTTAGTTTTTCTGTGGAAATATTCCCGTTTCCAAAGAAATCTTCAAAGAGGTCCACGTATCCACTTACAGATTCTACAAAAAGACAGTTTCAAAACTGCTCCATCAAAAGGAGGGTTCAACTGTGTGACTTGAATGCAATCATCACTCAGAAGTTTCTGAGAATGCTTCTCTTTAGTTTTTACGTGAACATATACCCGTTTAGAACGAAGGCCACCCAGTGGTCCAAATATCCACTTGCAGATTCTACAGAAAGAGTGTTTCGAACCTGAACTCTCAAAGGCAGGTTCATCTCTGCGAGTTAAATGCATTCATCATGAAGAACTTTCTCAGAGTGTTTGTGTTTAGTTATGGGAAATTATTCCCATTTCCAACGAAATCCTCAGAGAGCTCCAAATATCCACCTGCAGATTCTACCAAAAGTGTATTTGGAAACTGCTCCATCAAAAGGCATGTTCAGCTCTGTGAGTGAAACTCCATCATCACAAAGAATATTCTGAGAATGCTTCCGTTTGCCTTTTATATGAAGTTCCTTCCTATACTACCGTAGGCCTCAAAGCAGTCCAAATCTCCATTTGCAGATTCTACAAAAAGAGTGATTCCAATCTGCTCTATCAATAGGATTGTTCAACTCCATGAGTTGAATGCCATCCTCACAAAGTCGTTTCTGAGAATGCTTCTATCTAGTTTTTATGTGAAGATATTTCCCTTTCCACCACAGGCCTCAAAGCCCTCCAAACGTCCACTTGCAGATTCTCGAAAAAGAGTGTTTCATAGCTGCTCTTTCAAAAGGGAAGTTCAACTCTGGGAGTTGAATACAAACATCCCAAAGTAGTTTCCGAGAATGCTTCTGTTTAGTTTTATGTGAAGATGATCCCGTTTCCAGTGAAATCTTCAAAGAGGTCCACATATCCCCTTGCAGATTCCAAAGAAAGAGGGTTTCAAAACTGCTCCATCAGAAGGATTGTTCAACTCTGTGAGTTGAATGCAGTCATCGCAGAAAACTTTCTGAGAATGCTTCTGTCTAGGTTTGATGTGAAGATATAGACGTTTCAAACGAAGGCTACAAAGTGGTCAAAATATACACTTGCAGATTCTACTACAAGGGTGTTGCAAACCTGAACTATCAAAGGAAGGTTCAACTCCGTCAGTTGAATACAAACATCACAAAGAATGTTCTGAGTTTGCTTCCGTTCAGTTATGGGAAGTTGATCCCGTTTCCAACGAAATCCTCAGAGAGGTTCAAATATCCCCTTGCAGATTCTACAAAACGTGTGTTTGGAAACTGCTCCATCATAACGAATGTTCAGCTCCCTGAGTTAAACTCCATCGTCACAAAGAATTTTCTGAGAGTGCTACCATCTGGTTTTTATATGAAGTTCTTTCCTTCACTACCACAGGCCTCAAAGCGGTCCAAATCTCCACTTGCAGATTCTACAAAAAGAGTGTTTGCAAACTGCTCTATCAAAAGGAATGTTCAACTCTGGG
This sequence comes from Homo sapiens, assembly GCF_000001405.40. Classification (NCBI taxonomy): domain Eukaryota; kingdom Metazoa; phylum Chordata; class Mammalia; order Primates; family Hominidae; genus Homo; species Homo sapiens. The sequence goes on along the minus strand of NC_000023.11, from coordinate 60,089,285 downwards.
AGTTGAATGCAATCATCACAGAGCAGTTTCTGAGAATGCTTCTATGTCGTTTTTAGGAGAAGATATTTCCTTTTCCAACACAGTCCTCCAAGCCCGCTAAATAGCCACTTGCACATTGTAGAAAAAGTGTGTCAAAGCTGCGCTATCAAAGGGAAAGTTCAACTCTGTGAGGTGAATGCAAACATCCCAAAGAAGTTTCTGAGAATGCTTCCGTTTAGCTTTTAGGTGAAGATTATCCCGTTTCCAACGAAACCTTCAAAGAGGTCCAAATATCCCCTTGCGGATCCCACAGAAAGAGTGTTTCGAAACTGCTGTTTCAAAAGGAATCTTCAACTCTGTGAGTTGAATGCAATCATCACAAAGAAGTTTCTGACAATGCTTCTCTCTCGTCTTTCTGTGAAGATAAAGGAAAAGGCTTTCAGGCCTTTTCCACCACAGGCCTGAAAGCGCTCCAAATGTCCACTTGCAGATTCTGCGAAAAGAATATTTCAAAACTGCTCTATGAAAAGCAATGTTAAACTCTGTGGCTCGAACACAAACATCACAAAGCAGTTTCTGAGAATGCTTCAGTTTAGTTTTTCTGTGGAAATATTCCCGTTTCAAAGAAATCTTCAAAGAGGTCCACGTATCCACTTACAGATTCTACAAAAAGACAGTTTCAAAACTGCTCCATCAAAAGGAGGGTTCAACTGTGTGACTTGAATGCAATCATCACTCAGAAGTTTCTGAGAATGCTTCTCTTTAGTTTTTACGTGAACATATACCCGTTTCGAACGAAGGCCACCCAGTGGTCCAAATATCCACTTGCAGATTCTACAGAAAGAGTGTTTCGAACCTGAACTCTCAAAGGCAGGTTCATCTCTGCGAGTTAAATGCATTCATCATGAAGAACTTTCTCAGAGTGTTTGTGTTTAGTTATGGGAAATTATTCCCGTTTCCAACGAAATCCTCAGAGAGCTCCAAATATCCACCTGCAGATTCTACCAAAAGTGTATTTGGAAACTGCTCCATCAAAAGGCATGTTCAGCTCTGTGAGTGAAACTCCATCATCACAAAGAATATTCTGAGAATGCTTCCGTTTGCCTTTTATATGAAGTTCCTTCCTATACTACCGTAGGCCTCAAAGCAGTCCAAATCTCCATTTGCAGATTCTACAAAAAGAGTGATTCCAATCTGCTCTATCAATAGGATTGTTCAACTCCATGAGTTGAATGCCATCCTCACGAAGTAGTTTCTGAGAATGCTTCTATCTAGTTTTTATGTGAAGATATTTCCTTTTCCACCACAGGCCTCAAAGCCCTCCAAACGTCCACTTGCAGATTCTCGAAAAAGAGTGTTTCATAGCTGCTCTTTCAAAAGGAAAGTTCAACTCTGGGAGTTGAATACAAACATCACAAAGTAGTTTCCGAGAATGCTTCTGTTTAGTTTTTATGTGAAGATGATCCCGTTTCCAGTGAAATCTTCAAAGAGGTCCACATATCCCCTTGCAGATTCCAAAGAAAGAGGGTTTCAAAACTGCTCCATCAGAAGGATTGTTCAACTCTGTGAGTTGAATGCAGTCATCGCAGAAAACTTTCTGAGAATGCTTCTTTCTAGGTTTGATGTGAAGATATAGACGTTTCAAACGAAGGCTACAAAGTGGTCAAAATATACACTTGCAGATTCTACTACAAGGGTGTTGCAAACCTGAACTATCAAAGGAAGGTTCAACTCTGTGAGTTGAATACAAACATCACAAAGAATGTTCTGAGTTTGCTTCCGTTCAGTTATGGGAAGTTGATCCCGTTTCCAAAGAAATCCTCAGAGAGGTCCAAATATCCCCTCGCAGATTCTACAAAACGTGTGTTTGGAAACTGCTCCATCATAACGAATGTTCAGCTCCCTGAGTTAAACTCCATCGTCACAAAGAATTTTCTGAGAGTGCTACCGTCTGGTTTTTATATGAAGTTCTTTCCTTCACTACCACAGGCCTCAAAGCGGTCCAAATCTCCACTTGCAGATTCTACAAAAAGAGTGTTTGCAAACTGCTCTATCAAAAGGAATGTTCAACTCTGGGAGTTGAATGCAATCATCACAGAGCAGTTTCTGAGAATGCTTCTATGTCGTTTTTAGGAGAAGATATTTCCTTTTCCAACACAGTCCTCCAAGCCCGCTAAATAGCCACTTGCACATTGTAGAAAAAGTGTGTCAAAGCTGCGCTATCAAAGGGAAAGTTCAACTCTGTGAGGTGAATGCAAACATCCCAAAGAAGTTTCTGAGAATGCTTCCGTTTAGCTTTTAGGTGAAGATTATCCCGTTTCCAACGAAACCTTCAAAGAGGTCCAAATATCCCCTTGCGGATCCCACAGAAAGAGTGTTTCGAAACTGCTGTTTCAAAAGGAATCTTCAACTCTGTGAGTTGAATGCAATCATCACAAAGAAGTTTCTGACAATGCTTCTCTCTCGTCTTTCTGTGAAGATAAAGGAAAAGGCTTTCAGGCCTGTTCCACCACAGGCCTGAAAGCGCTCCAAATGTCCACTTGCAGATTCTGCGAAAAGAATATTTCAAAACTGCTCTATGAAAAGCAATGTTAAACTCTGTGGCTGGAACACAAACATCACAAAGCGGTTTCTGAGAATGTTTCAGTTTAGTTTTTCTGTGGAAATATTCCCGTTTCCAAAGAAATCTTCAAAGAGGTCCATGTATCCACTTACAGATTCTACAAAAAGACAGTTTCAAAACTGCTCCATCAAAAGGAGGGTTCAACTGTGTGACTTGAATGCAATCATCACTCAGAAGTTTCTGAGAATGCTTCTCTTTAGTTTTTACGTGAACATATACCCGTTTCGAACGAAGGCCACCCAGTGGTCCAAATATCCACTTGCAGATTCTACAGAAAGAGTGTTTCGAACCTGAACTCTCAAAGGCAGGTTCATCTCTGCGAGTTAAATGCATTCATCATGAAGAACTTTCTCAGAGTGTTTGTGTTTAGTTATGGGAAATTATTCCCGTTTCCAACGAAATCCTCAGAGAGCTCCAAATATCCACCTGCAGATTCTACCAAAAGTGTATTTGGAAACTGCTCCATCAAAAGGCATGTTCAGCTCTGTGAGTGAAACTCCATCATCACAAAGAATATTCTGAGAATGCTTCCGTTTGCTTTTTTATGAATTTCCTTCCTATACTACCGTAGGCCTCAAAGCAGTCCAAATCTCCATTTGCAGATTCTACAAAAAGAGTGTTTCCAATCTGCTCTATCAATAGGATTGTTCAACTCCGTGAGTTGAATGCCATCGTCACAAATTAATTTCTGAGAATGCTTCTATCTAGTTTTTATGTGAAGATATTTCCTTTTCCACCACAGGCCTCAAAGCCCTCCAAACGTCCACTTGTAGATTCTCCAAAAAGAGTGTTTCATAGCTGCTCTTTCAAAAGGAATGTTCAACTCTGGCAGTTGAATGCAAACATCACAAAGTAGTTTCCGAGAATGCTTCCTGTTTAGTTTTTATGTGAAGATGATCCCGTTTCCAGTGAAATCTTCAAAGAGGTCCACATATCCCCTTGCAGATTCCAAAGAAAGAGGGTTTCAAAACTGCTCCATCAGAAGGATTGTTCAACTCTGTGAGTTGAATGCAGTCATCGCAGAAAACTTTCTGAGAATGCTTCTGTCTAGGTTTGATGTGAAGATATAGACGTTTCAAACGAAGGCTACAAAGTGGTCAAAATATACACTTGCAGATTCTACTACAAGGGTGTTGCAAACCTGAACTATCAAAGGAAGGTTCAACTCTGTGAGTTGAATACAAACATCAAAAAGAATGTTCTGAGTTTGCTTCCGTTCAGTTATGGGAAGTTGATCCCGTTTCCAACGAAATCCTCAGAGAGGTCCAAATATCCCCTTGCAGATTCTACAAAACGTGTGTTTGGAAACTGCTCCATCATAACGAATGTTCAGCTCCCTGAGTTAAACTCCATCGTCACAAAGAATTTTCTGAGAGTGCTACCGTCTGGTTTTTATATGAAGTTCTTTCCTTCACTACCACTGGCCTCAAAGCGGTCCAAGTCTCCACTTGCAGATTCTACAAAAAGAGTGTTTGCAAACTGCTCTATCAAAAGGAATGTTCAACTCTGGGAGTTGAATGCAATCATCACAGAGCAGTTTCTGAGAATGCTTCTATGTCGTTTTTAGGAGAAGATATTTCCTTTTCCAACACAGTCCTCCAAGTCCGCTAAATAGCCACTTGCACATTGTAGAAAAAGTGTGTCAAAGCTGGGCTATCAAAGGGAAAGTTCAACTCTGAGAGGTGAATGCAAACATCCCAAAGAAGTTTCTGAGAGTGCTTCCGTTTAGCTTTTAGGTGAAGATTATCCCGTTTCCAACGAAACCTTCAAAGAAGTCCAAATATCCCCTTGCGGATCCCACAGAAAGAGTGTTTCGAAACTGCTGTTTCAAAAGGAATCTTCAACTCTGTGAGTTGAATGCAATCATCACAAAGAAGTTTCTGACAATGCTTCTCTCTCGTCTTTCTGTGAAGATAAATGAATGCTTTCAGGCCTTTGCCACCACAGGCCTGAAAGCGCTCCAAATGTCCACTTGCAGATTCTGCGAAAAGAATATTTCAAAACTGCTTTGTGAAAAGCAATGTTAAACTCTGTGGCTCGAACACAAACATCACAAAGCGGTTTCTGAGAATGCTTCAGTTTAGTTTTTCTGTGGAAATATTCCCGTTTCCAAAGAAATCTTAAAGAGGTCCACGTATCCACTTACAGATTCTACAAAAAGACAGTTTCAAAACTGCTCCATCAAAAGGAGGGTTCAACTGTGTGACTTGAATGCAATCATCACTCAGAAGTTTCTGAGAATGCTTCTCTTTAGTTTTTACGTGAACATATACCCGTTTCGAACGAAGGCCAGCCAGTGGTCCAAATATCCACTTGCAGATTCTACAGAAGGAGTGTTTCGAACCTGAACTCTCAAAGGCAGGTTCATCTCTGCGAGTTAAATGCATTCATCATGAAGAACTTTCTCAGCGTGTTTGTGTTTAGTTATGGGAAATTATTCCCGTTTCCAACGAAATCCTCAGAGAGCTCCAAATATCCACCTGCAGATTCTACCAAAAGTGTATTTGGAAACTGCTCCATCAAAAGGCATGTTCAGCTCTGTGAGTGAAACTCCATCATCATAAAGAATATTCTTAGAATGCTTCCGTTTGCCTTTTATATGAAGTTCCTTCCTATACGACCGTAGGCCTCAAAGCAGTCCAAATCTCCATTTGCAGATTCTACAAAAAGAGTGATTCCAATCTGCTCTATCAATAGGATTGTTCAACTCCATGAGTTGAATGCCATCCTCACAAAGTCGTTTCTGAGAATGCTTCTATCTAGTTTTTATGTGAAGATATTTCCTTTTCCACCACAGGCCTCAAAGCCCTCCAAACGTCCACTTGCAGATTCTCGAAAAAGAGTGTTTCATAGCTGCTCTTTCAAAAGGAAAGTTCAACTCTGGGAGTTGAATACAAACATCACAAAGTAGTTTCCGAGAATGCTTCTGTTTAGTTTTTATGTGAAGATGATCCCGTTTCCAGTGAAATCTTCAAAGAGGTCCACATATCCCCTTGCAGATTCCAAAGAAAGAGGGTTTCAAAACTGCTCCATCAGAAGGATTGTTCAACTCTGTGAGTTGAATGCAGTCATCGCAGAAAACTTTCTGAGAATGCTTCTGTCTAGGTTTGATGTGAAGATATAGACGTTTTAAACGAAGGTTACAAAGTGGTCAAAATATACACTTGCAGATTCTACTACAAGGCTGTTGCAAACCTGAACTATCAAAGGAAGGTTCAACTCTGTGAGTTGAATACAAACATCACAAAGAATGTTCTGAGTTTGCTTCCGTTCAGTTATGGGAAGTTGATCCCGTTTCCAACGAAATCCTCAGAGAGGTCCAAATATCCCCTTGCAGATTCTACAAAACGTGTGTTTGGAAACTGCTCCATCATAACGAATGTTCAGCTCTCTGAGTTAAACTCCATCGTCACAAAGAATTTTCTGAGAGTGCTACCGTCTAGTTTTTATATGAAGTTCTTTCCTTTACTACCACAGGCCTCAAAGCGGTCCAAATCTCCACTTGCAGATTCTACAAAAAGAGTGTCTGCAAACTGCTCTATCAAAAGGAATGTTCAACTCTGGGAGTTGAATGCAATCATCACAGAGCAGTTTCTGAGAATGCTTCTATGTCGTTTTTAGGAGAAGATATTTCCTTTTCCAACACAGTCCTCCAAGCCCGCTAAATATCCACTTGCACATTGTAGAAAAAGTGTGTCGAAGCTGCGCTATCAAAGGGAAAGTTCAACTCTGTGAGGTGAATGCAAACATCCCAAAGAAGTTTCTGAGAATGCTTCCGTTTAGCTTTTAGGTGAAGATTATCCCGTTTCCAACGAAATCTTCAAAGAGGTCCAAATATCCCCTTGCGGATCCCACAGAAAGAGTGTTTCGAAACTGCTGTTTCAAAAGGAATCTTCAACTCTGTGAGTTGAATGCAATCATCACAAAGAAGTTTCTGACAATGCTTCTCTCTCGTCTTTCTGTGAAGATAAAGGAAAAGGCTTTCAGGCCTTTTCCACCACAGGCCTGAAAGCGCTCCAAATGTCCACTTGCAGATTCTGCCAAAAGAATATTTCAAAACTGCTCTATGAAAAGCAATGTTAAACTCTGCGGCTCGAACACCAACATCACAAAGCAGTTTCTGAGAATGCTTCAGTTTAGTTTTTCTGTGGAAATATTCCCGTTTCCAAGGAAATCTTCCAAGAGGTCCACGTATCCACTTACAGATTCTACAAAAAGACAGTTTCAAAACTGCTCAATCAAAAGGCGGGTTCAACTGTGTGACTTGAATGCAATCATCACTCAGAAGTTTCTGAGAATGCTGTTTGTGTTTAGTTATGGGAAATTATTCCCGTTTCCAACGAAATCCTCCGACAGGTCCAAATATCCACCTGCAGATTCTACCAAAAGTGTATTTGGAAACTGCTCCATCAAAAGGCATGTTCAGCTCTGTGAGTGAAACTCCATCATCACAAAGAATATTCTGAGAATGCTCCGTTTGCCTTTTATATGAAGTTCCTTCCTATACTACCGTAGGCCTCAAAGCAGTCCAAATCTCCCTTTGCAGATTCTACAAAAAGAGTGATTCCAATCTGCTCTATCAATAGGATTGTTCAACTCCATGAGTTGAATGCCATCCTCACAAAGTCGTTTCTGAGAATGCTTCTATCTAGTTTTTATGTGAAGATATTTCCTTTTCCACCACAGGCCTCAAAGCCCTCCAAACGTCCACTTGCAGATTCTCGAAAAAGAGTGTTTCATAGCTGCTCTTTCAAAAGGAAAGTTCAACTCTGGGAGTTGAATACAAACATCACAAAGTAGTTTCCGAGAATGCTTCTGTTTAGTTCTTATGTGAAGATGATCCCGTTTCCAGTGAAATCTTGAAAGAGGTCCACATATCCCCTTGCAGATTCCAAAGAAAGAGGGTTTCAAAACTGCTCCATCAAAAGGATTGTTCAACTCTGTGAGTTGAATGCAGTCATCGCAGAAAACTTTCTGAGAATGCTTCTGTTTAGGTTTGATGTGAAGATATAGACGTTTCAAACGAAGGCTACAAAGTGGTCAAAATATACACTTGCAGATTCTACTACAAGGGTGATGCAAACCTCAACTATCAAAGGAAGGTTCAACTCTGTGAGTTGAATACAAACATCACAAAGAATGTTCTGAGTTTGCTTCCGTTCAGTTATGGGAAGTTGATCCCATTTCCAACGAAATCCTCAGAGAGGTCCAAATATCCCTTTGCAGATTCTACAAAATGTGTGTTTGGAAACTGCTCCATCATAACGAATGTTCAGCTCTCTGAGTTAAACTCTATCGTCACAAAGAATTTTACTGAGAGTGCTACCGTCTGGTTTTTATATGAAGCTCTTTCCTTCACTACCACAGACCTCAAAGCGGTCCAAATCTCCACTTGCAGATTCTACAAAAAGAGTGTTTGCAAACTGCTCTATCAAAAGGAATGTTCAACTCTGGGAGTTGAATGCAATCATCACAGAGCAGTTTCTGAGAATGCTTCTATGTCGTTTTTAGGAGAAGATATTTCCTTTTCCAACACAGTCCTCCAAGCCCGCTAAATAGCCACTTGCACATTGTAGAAACAGTGTGTCAAAGCTGCGCTATCAAAGGGAAAGTTCAACTCTGTGAGGTGAATGCAAACATCCCAAAGAAGTTTCTGAGAATGCTTCCGTTTAGCTTTTAGGTGAAGATTATCCCGTTTCCAACGAAACCTTCAAAGAGGTCCAAATATCCCCTTGCGGATCCCACAGAAAGAGTGTTTCGAAACTGCTGTTTCAAAAGGAATCTTCAACTCTGTGAGTTGAATGCAATCATCACAAAGAAGTTTCTGACAATGCTTCTCTCTCGTCTTTCTGTGAAGATAAAGGAAAAGGCTTTCAGGCCTTTTCCACCACAGGCCTGAAAGCGCTCCAAATGTCCACTTGCAGATTCTGCCAAAAGAATATTTCAAAACTGCTCTATGAAAAGCAATGTTAAACTCTGTGGCTCGAACACAAACATCACAAAGCAGTTTCTGAGAATGCTTCAGTTTAGTTTTTCTGTGGAAATATTCCCGTTTCCAAAGAAATCTTCAAAGAGGTCCACGTATCCACTTACAGATTCTACAAAAAGACAGTTTCAAAACTGCTCCATCAAAAGGAGGGTTCAACTGTGTGACTTGAATGCAATCATCACTCAGAAGTTTCTGAGAATGCTTCTCTTTAGTTTTTACGTGAACATATACCCGTTTCGAACGAAGGCCAGCCAGTGGTCCAAATATCCACTTGCAGATTCTACAGAAAGAGTGTTTCGAACCTGAACTCTCAAAGGCAGGTTCATCTCTGCGAGTTAAATGCATTCATCATGAAGAACTTTCTCAGAGTGTTTGTGTTTAGTTATGGGAAATTATTCCCGTTTCCAACGAAATCCTCAGAGAGGTCCAAATATCCACCTGCAGATTCTACCAAAAGTGTATTTGGAAACTGCTCCATCAAAAGGCATGTTCAGCTCTGTGAGTGAAACTCCATCATCACAAAGGAGATATTCTGAGAATGCTTCCTTTTGCCTTTTATATGAAGTTCCTTCTTATACTACCGTAGGCCTCAAAGCAGTCCAAATCTCCATTTGCAGATTCTACAAAAAGAGTGATTCCAATCTGCTCTATCAATAGGATTGTTCAACTCCATGAGTTGAATGCCATCCTCACAAAGTCGTTTCTGAGAATGCTTCTATCTAGTTTTTATGTGAAGATATTTCCTTTTCCACCACAGGCCTCAAAGCCCTCCAAACGTCAACTTGCAGATTCTCGAAAAAGAGTGTTTCATAGCCGCTCTTTCAAAAGGAAAGTTCAACTCTGGGAGTTGAATACAAACATCACAAAGTAGTTTCCGAGAATGCTTCTGTTTAGTTCTTATGTGAAGATGATCCCGTTTCCAGTGAAATCTTCAAAGAGGTCCACATATCCCCTTGCAGATTCCAAAGAAAGAGGGTTTCAAAACTGCTCCATCGAAAGGATTGTTCAACTCTGTGAGTTGAATGCAGTCATCGCAGAAAACTTTCTGAGAATGCTTCTGTCTAGGTTTGAGGTGAAGATATAGACGTTTCAAACGAAGGCTACAAAGTGGTCAAAATATACACTTGCAGATTCTACTACAAGGGTGTTGCAAACCTGAACTATCAAAGGAAGGTTCAACTCTGTGAGTTGAATACAAACATCACAAAGAATGTTCTGAGTTTGCTACCGTTCAGTTATGGGAAGTTGATCCCGTTTCCAACGAAATCCTCAGAGAGGTCCAAATATCCCCTTGCAGATTCTACAAAACGTGTGTTTGGAAACTGCTCCATCATAACGAATGTTCAGCTCTCTGAGTTAAACTCCATCGTCACAAAGAATTTTCTGAGAGTGCTACCGTCTGGTTTTTATATGAAGTTCTTCCCTTTACTACCACAGGCCTCAAAGCGGTCCAAATCTCCACTTGCAGATTCTACAAAAAGAGTGTTTGCAAACTGCTCTATCAAAAGGAATGTTCAACTCTGGGAGTTGAATGCAATCATCACAGAGCAGTTTCTGAGAATGCTTCTATGTCGTTTTTAGGAGAAGATATTTCCTTTTCCAACACAGTCCTCCAAGCCCGCTAAATATCCACTTGCACATTGTAGAAAAAGTGTGTCGAAGCTGCGCTATCAAAGGGAAAGTTCAACTCTGTGAGGTGAATGCAAACATCCCAAAGAAGTTTCTGAGAATGCTTCCGTTTAGCTTTTAGGTGAAGATTATCCCGTTTCCAACGAAACCTTCAAAGAGGTCCAAATATCCCCTTGGGGATCCCACAGAAAGAGTGTTTCGAAACAGCTGTTTCAAAAGGAATCTTCAACTCTGTGAGTTGAATGCAATCATCACAAAGAAGTTTCTGACAATGCTTCTCTCTCGTCTTTCTGTGAAGATAAAGGAAAAGGCTTTCAGGCCTTTTCCACCACAGGCCTGAAAGCGCTCCAAATGTCCACTTGCAGATTCTGCGAAAAGAATATTTCAAAACTGCTCTATGAAAAGCAATGTTAAACTCTGTGGCTCGAACACAAACATCACAAAGCAGTTTCTGAGAATGCTTCAGTTTAGTTTTTCTGTGGAAATATTACCGTTTCCAAAGAAATCTTCAAAGAGGTCCACGTATCCACTTACAGATTCTACAAAAAGACAGTTTCAAAACTGCTCCATCAAAAGGAGGGTTCAACTGTGTGACTTGAATGCAATCATCACTCAGAAGTTTCTGAGAATGCTTCTCTTTAGTTTTTACGTGAACATATACCCGTTTCGAACGAAGGCCACCCAGTGGTCCAAATATCCACTTGCAGATTCTACAGAAAGAGTGTTTCGAACCTGAACTCTCAAAGGAAGGTTCATCTCTGCGAGTTAAATGCATTCATCATGAAGAACTTTCTCAGAGTATTTGTGTTTAGTTATGGGAAATTATTCCCGTTTCCAAAGAAATCCTCAGAGAGCTCCAAATATCCACCTGCAGATTCTACCAAAAGTGTATTTGGAAACTGCTCCATCAAAAGGCATGTTCAGCTCTGTGAGTGAAACTCCATCATCACAAAGAATATTCTGAGAATGCTTCCGTTTGCCTTTTATATGAAGTTCCTTCCTGTACTACCGTAGGCCTCAAAGCAGTCCAAATCTCCATTTGCAGATTCTACAAAAAGAGTGATTCCAATCTGCTCTATCAATAGGATTGTTCAACTCCATGAGTTGAATGCCATCCTCACAAAGTAGTTTCTGAGAATGCTTCTATCTGGTTTTTGTGTGAAGATATTTCCTTTTCCACCACAGGCCTCAAAGCCCTCCAAACGTCCACTTGCAGATTCTCGAAAAAGAGTGTTTCATAGCTGCTCTTTCAAAAGGAAAGTTCAACTCTGGGAGTTGAATACAAACATCACAAAATAGTTTCCGAGAATGCTTCTATTTAGTTTTTATGTGAAGATGATCCCGTTTCCAGTGAAATCTTCAAAGAGGTCCACATATCCCCTTGCAGATTCCAAAGAAAGAGGGTTTCAAAACTGCTCCATCAAAAGGATTGTTCAACTCTGTGAGTTGAATGCAGTCATCGCAGAAAACTTTCTGAGAATGCTTCTGTCTAGGTTTGATGTGAAGATATAGACGTTTCAAACGAAGGCTACAAAGTGGTCAAAATATACACTTGCAGATTCTACTACAAGGGTGTTGCAAACCTGAACTATCAAAGGAAGGTTCAACTCTGTGAGTTGAATACAAACATCACAAAGAATGTTCTGAGTTTGCTTCCGTTCAGTTATGGGAAGTTGATCCCGTTTCCAACGAAATCCTCAGAGAGGTCCAAATATCCCCTTGCAGATTCTACAAAACGTGTGTTTGGAAACTGCTCCATCATAACGAATGTTCAGCTCCCCGAGTTAAACTCCATCGTCACAAAGAATTTTCTGAGAGTGCTACCGTCTGGTTTTTATATGAAGTTCTTTCCTTCACTACCACAGGCCTCAAAGCGGTCCAAATCTCCACTTGCAGATTCTACAAAAAGAGTGTTTGCAAACTGCTCTATCAAAAGGAATGTTCAACTCTGGGAGTTGAATGCAATCATCACAGAGCAGTTTCTGAGAATGCTTCTATGTCGTTTTTAGGAGAAGATATTTCCTTTTCCAACACAGTCCTCCAAGCCCGCTAAATAGCCACTTGCACATTGTAGAAAACGTGTGTCAAAGCTGCGCTATCAAAGGGAAAGTTCAACTCTGTGAGGTGAATGCAAACATCCCAAAGAAGTTTCTGAGAATGCTTCCGTTTAGCTTTTAGGTGAAGATTATCCCGTTTCCAACGAAACCTTCAAAGAGGTCCAAATATCCCCTTGCGGATCCCACAGAAAGAGAGTTTCGAAACTGCTGTTTCAAAAGGAATCTTCAACTCTGTGAGTTGAATGCAATCATCACAAAGAAGTTTCTGACAATGCTTCTCTCTCGTCTTTCTGTGAAGATAAAGGAAAAGGCTTTCAGGCCTTTTCCACCACAGGCCTGAAAGCGCTCCAAATGTCCACTTGCAGATTCTGCCAAAAGAATATTTCAAAACTGCTCTATGAAAAGCAATGTTAAACTCTGCGGCTCGAACACAAACATCACAAAGCGGTTTCTGAGAATGCTTCAGTTTAGTTTTTCTGTGGAAATATTCCCGTTTCCAAAGAAATCTTCAAAGAGGTCCACGTATCCACTTACAGATTCTACAAAAAGACAGTTTCAAAACTGCTCCATCAAAAGGAGGGTTCAACTGTGTGACTTGAATGCAATCATCACTCACAAGTTTCTGAGAATGCTTCTCTTTAGCTTTTACGTGAACATATACCCGTTTCGAACGAAGGCCACCCAGTGGTCCAAATATCCACTTGCAGATTCTACAGAAAGAGTGTTTCGAACCTGAACTCTCAAAGGCAGGTTCATCTCTGCGAGTTAAATGCATTCATCATGAAGAACTTTCTCAGAGTGTTTGTGTTTAGTTATGGGAAATTATTCCCGTTTCCAACGAAATCCTCAGAGAGCTCCAAATATCCACCTGCAGATTCTACCAAAAGTGTATTTGGAAACTGCTCCATCAAAAGGCATGTTCAGCTCTGTGAGTGAAACTCCATCATCACAAAGAATATTCTGAGAATGCTTCCGTTTGCCTTTTATATGAAGTTCCTTCCTATACGACCGTAGGCCTCAAAGCAGTCCAAATCTCCATTTGCAGATTCTACAAAAAGAGTGATTCCAATCTGCTCTATCAATAGGATTGTTCAACTCCATGAGTTGAATGCCATCCTCACAAAGTCGTTTCTGAGAATGCTTCTATCTAGTTTTTATGTGAAGATATTTCCTTTTCCACCACAGGCCTCAAAGCCCTCCAAACGTCCACTTGCAGATTCTCGAAAAAGAGTGTTTCATAGCTGCTCTTTCAAAAGGAAATTTCAACTCTGGGAGTTGAATACAAACATCACAAAGTAGTTTCCGAGAATGCTTCTGTTTAGTTTTTATGTGAAGATGATCCCGTTTCCAGTGAAATCTTCAAAGAGGTCCACATATCCCCTTGCAGATTCCAAAGAAAGAGGGTTTCAAAACTGCTCCATCAGAAGGATTGTTCAACTCTGTGAGTTGAATGCAGTCATCGCAGAAAACTTTCTGAGAATGCTTCTGTCTAGGTTTGATGTGAAGATATAGACGTTTCAAACGAAGGCTACAAAGTGGTCAAAATATACACTTGCAGATTCTACTACAAGGGTGTTGCAAACCTGAACTATCAAAGGAAGGTTCAACTCTGTGAGTTGAATACAAACATCACAAAGAATGTTCTGAGTTTGCTTCCGTTCAGTTATGGGAAGTTGATCCCGTTTCCAACGAAATCCTCAGAGAGGTCCAAATATCCCCTTGCAGATTCTACAAAACGTGTGTTTGGAAACTGCTCCATCATAACGAATGTTCAGCTCCCTGAGTTAAACTCCATCGTCACAAAGAATTTTCTGAGAGTGCTACCGTCTGGTTTTTATATGAAGTTCTTTCCTTCACTACCACAGGCCTCAAAGCGGTCCAAATCTCCACTTGCAGATTCTACAAAAAGAGTGTTTGCAAACTGCTCTATCAAAAGGAATGTTCAACTCTGGGAGTTGAATGCAATCATCACAGAGCAGTTTCTGAGAATGCTTCTATGTCGTTTTTAGGAGAAGATATTTCCTTTTCCAACACAGTCCTCCAAGCCCGCTAAATAGCCACTTGCACATTGTAGAAAAAGTGTGTCAAAGCTGCGCTATCAAAGGGAAAGTTCAACTCTGTGAGGTGAATGCAAACATCCCAAAGAAGTTTCTGAGAATGCTTCCGTTGAGCTTTTAGGTGAAGATTATCCCGTTTCCAACGAAACCTTCAAAGAGGTCCAAATATCCCCTTGCGGATCCCACAGAAAGAGTGTTTCGAAACTGCTGTTTCAAAAGGAATCTTCAACTCTGTGAGTTGAATGCAATCATCACAAAGAAGTTTCTGACAATGCTTCTCTCTCGTCTTTCTGTGAAGATAAAGGAAAAGGCTTTCAGGCCTTTTCCACCACAGGCCTGAAAGCGCTCCAAATGTCCACTTGCAGATTCTGCCAAAAGAATATTTCAAAACTGCTCTATGAAAAGCAATGTTAAACTCTGTGGCTCGAACACAAACATCACAAAGCAGTTTCTGAGAATGCTTCAGTTTAGTTTTTCTGTGGAAATATTCCCGTTTCCAAAGAAATCTTCAAAGAGGTCCACGTATCCACTTACAGATTCTACAAAAAGACAGTTTCAAAACTGCTCCATCAAAAGGAGGGTTCAACTGTGTGACTTGAATGCAATCATCACTCAGAAGTTTCTGAGAATGCTTCTCTTTAGTTTTTACGTGAACATATACCCGTTTCGAACGAAGGCCACCCAGTGGTCCAAATATCCACTTGCAGATTCTACAGAAAGAGTGTTTCGAACCTGAACTCTCAAAGGCAGGTTCATCTCTGCGAGTTAAATGCATTCATCATGAAGAACTTTCTCAGAGTGTTTGTGTTTAGTTATGGGAAATTATTCCCGTTTCCAACGAAATCCTCAGAGAGCTCCAAATATCCACCTGCAGATTCTACCAAAAGTGTATTTGGAAACTGCTCCATCAAAAGGCATGTTCAGCTCTGTGAGTGAAACTCCATCATCACAAAGAATATTCTGAGAATGCTTCCGTTTGCCTTTTATATGAAGTTCCTTCCTATACTACCGTAGGCCTCAAAGCAGTCCAAATCTCCATTTGCAGATTCTACAAAAAGAGTGATTCCAATCTGCTCTATCAATAGGATTGTTCAACTCCATGAGTTGAATGCCATCCTCACAAAGTCGTTTCTGAGAATGCTTCTATCTAGTTTTTATGTGAAGATATTTCCTTTTCCACCACAGGCCTCAAAGCCCTCCAAACGTCCACTTGCAGATTCTCGAAAAAGAGTGTTTCATAGCTGCTCTTTCAAAAGGAAAGTTCAACTCTGGGAGTTGAATACAAACATCACAAAGTAGTTTCCGAGAATGCTTCTGTTTAGTTTTTATGTGAAGATGATCCCGTTTCCAGTGAAATCTTCAAAGAGGTCCACATATCCCCTTGCAGATTCCAAAGAAAGAGGGTTTCAAAACTGCTCCATCAGAAGGATTGTTCAACTCTGTGAGTTGAATGCAGTCATCGCAGAAAACTTTCTGAGAATGCTTCTGTCTAGGTTTGATGTGAAGATATAGACGTTTCAAACGAAGGCTACAAAGTGGTCAAAATATACACTTGCAGATTCTACTACAAGGGTGTTGCAAACCTGAACTATCAAAGGAAGGTTCAACTCTGTGAGTTGAATACAAACATCACAAAGAATGTTCTGAGTTTGCTTCCGTTCAGTTATGGGAAGTTGATCCCTTTTCCAACGAAATCCTCAGAGAGGTCCAAATATCCCCTCGCAGATTCTACAAAACGTGTGTTTGGAAACTGCTCCATCATAACGAATGTTCAGCTCCCTGAGTTAAACTCCATCGTCACAAAGAATTTTCTGAGAGTGCTACCGTCTGGTTTTTATATGAAGTTCTTTCCTTCACTACCACAGGCCTCAAAGCGGTCCAAATCTCCACTTGCAGATTCTACAAAAAGAGTGTTTGCAAACTGCTCTATCAAAAGGAATGTTCAACTCTGGGAGTTGAATGCAATCATCACAGAGCAGTTTCTGAGAATGCTTCTATGTCGTTTTTAGGAGAAGATATTTCCTTTTCCAACACAGTCCTCCAAGCCCGCTAAATAGCCACTTGCACATTGTAGAAAAAGTGTGTCAAAGCTGCGCTATCAAAGGGAAAGTTCAACTCTGTGAGGTGAATGCAAACATCCCAAAGAAGTTTCTGAGAATGCTTCCGTTTAGCTTTTAGGTGAAGATTATCCCGTTTCCAACGAAATCTTCAAAGAGGTCCAAATATCCCCTTGCGGATCCCACAGAAAGAGTGTTTCGAAACTGCTGTTTCAAAAGGAATCTTCAACTCTGTGAGTTGAATGCAATCATCACAAAGAAGTTTCTGACAATGCTTCTCTCTCGTCTTTCTGTGAAGATAAAGGAAAAGGCTTTCAGGCCTTTTCCACCACAGGCCTGAAAGCGCTCCAAATGTCCACTTGCAGATTCTGCGAAAAGAATATTTCAAAACTGCTCTATGAAAAGCAATGTTAAACTCTGTGGCTCGAACACAAACATCACAAAGCGGTTTCTGAGAATGCTTCAGTTTAGTTTTTCTGTGGAAATATTCCCGTTTCCAAAGAAATCTTCAAAGAGGTCCACGTATCCACTTACAGATTCTACAAAAAGACAGTTTCAAAACTGCTCCATCAAAAGGAGGGTTCAACTGTGTGACTTGAATGCAATCATCACTCAGAAGTTTCTGAGAATGCTTCTCTTTAGTTTTTACGGGAACATATACCCGTTTCAAACGAAGGCCAGCCAGTGGTCCAAATATCCACTTGCAGATTCTACAGAAAGAGTGTTTTGAACCTGAACTCTCAAAGGCAGGTTCATCTCTGAGAGTTCAATGCATTCATCATGAAGAACTTTCTCAGAGTGTTTGTGTTTAGTTATGGGAAATTATTCCCGTTACCAAAGAAATCCGCAGAGAGGTCCAAATATCCACCTGCAGATTCTACCAAAAGTGTATTTGGAAACTGCTCCATCAAAAGGCATGTTCAGCTCTGTGAGTGAAACTCCATCGTCACAAAGAATATTCTGAGAATGCTTCCGTTTGCCTTTTATATGAAGTACCTTCCTATACTACCGTAGGCCTCAAAGCAGTCCAAATCTCCATTTGCAGATTCTACAAAAAGAGTGATTCCAATCTGCTCTATCAATAGGATTGTTCAACTCCATGAGTTGAATGCCATCCTCACAAAGTCGTTTCTGAGAATGCTTCTATCTAGTTTTTATGTGAAGATATTTCCTTTTCCACCACAGGCCTCAAAGCCCTCCAAACGTCCACTTGCAGATTCTCGAAAAAGAGTGTTTCATAGCTGCTCTTTCAAAAGGAAAGTTCAACTCTGCGAGTTGAATACAAACATCACAAAGTAGTTTCCGAGAATGCTTCTGTTTATTTCTTATGTGAAGATGATCCCGTTTCCAGTGAAATCTTCAAAGAGGTCCACATATCCCCTTGCAGATTCCAAAGAAAGAGGGATTCAAAACTGCTCCATCAAAAGGATTGTTCAACTCTGTGAGTTGAATGCTGTCATCGCAGAAAACTTTCTGAGAATGCTTCTGTCTAGGTTTGAGGTGAAGATATAGACGTTTCAAACGAAGGCTACAAAGTGGTCAAAATATACACTTGCAGATTCTACTACAAGGGTGTTGCAAACCTGAACTATCAAAGGAAGGTTCAACTCTGTGAGTTGAATACAAACATCACAAAGAATGTTCTGAGTTTGCTTCCGTTCAGTTATGGGAAGTTGATCCCGTTTCCAACGAAATCCTCAGAGAGGTCCAAATATCCCCTTGCAGATTCTACAAAACGTGTGTTTGGAAACTGCTCCATCATAACGAATGTTCAGCTCTCTGAGTTAAACTCCATCGTCACAAAAAATTTTCTGAGAGTGCTACCGTCTGGTTTTTATATGAAGTTCTTTCCTTTACTACCTCAGGCCTCAAAGCGGTCCAAATCTCCACTTGCAGATTCTACAAAAACAGTGTTTGCAAACTGCTCTATCAAAAGGAATGTTCAACTCTGGGAGTTGAATGCAATCATCACAGAGCAGTTTCTGAGAATGCTTCTATGTCGTTTTTAGGAGAAGATATTTCCTTTTCCAACACAGTCCTCCAAGCCCGCTAAATGTCCACTTGCACACTTTAGAAAAAGTGTGTCGAAGCTGCGCTATCAAAGGGAAAGTTCAACTCTGTGAGGTGAATGCAAACATCCCAAAGAAGTTTCTGAGAATGCTTCCGTTTAGCTTTTAGGTGAAGATTATCCCGTTTCCAACGAAACCTTCAAAGAGGTCCAAATATCCCCTTGCGGATCCCACAGAAAGAGTGTTTCGAAACTGCTGTTTCAAAAGGAATCTTCAACTCTGTGAGTTGAATGCAATCATCACAAAGAAGTTTCTGACAATGCTTCTCTCTCGTCTTTCTGTGAAGATAAAGGAAAAGGCTTTCAGGCCTTTGCCACCACAGGCCTGAAAGCGCTCCAAATGTCCACTTGCAGATTCTGCCAAAAGAATATTTCAAAACTGCTCTATGAAAAGCAATGTTAAACTCTGTGGCTGGAACACAAACATCACAAAGCGGTTTGTGAGAATGTTTCAGTTTAGTTTTTCTGTGGAAATATTCCCGTTTCCAAAGAAATCTTCAAAGAGGTCCACGTATCCACTTACAGATTCTACAAAAAGACAGTTTCAAAACTGCTCCATCAAAAGGAGGGTTCAACTGTGTGACTTGAATGCAATCATCACTCAGAAGTTTCTGAGAATGCTTCTCTTTAGTTTTTACGTGAACATATACCCGTTTCGAACGAAGGCCACCCAGTGGTCCAAATATCCACTTGCAGATTATACAGAAAGAGTGTTTCGAACCTGAACTCTCAAAGGCAGGTTCATCTCTGCGAGTTAAATGCATTCATCATGAAGAACTTTCTCAGAGTGTTTGTGTTTAGTTATGGGAAATTATTCCCGTTTCCAACGAAATCCTCAGAGAGCTCCAAATATCCACCTGCAGATTCTACCAAAAGTGTATTTGGAAACTGCTCCATCAAAAGGCATGTTCAGCTCTGTGAGTGAAACTCCATCATCACAAAGAATATTCTGAGAATGCTTCCGTTTGCCTTTTATATGAAGTTCCTTCCTGTACTACCGTAGTCCTCAAAGCAGTCCAAATCTCCATTTGCAGATTCTACAAAAAGAGTGATTCCAATCTGCTCTATCAATAGGATTGTTCAACTCCATGAGTTGAATGCCATCCTCACAAAGTAGTTTCTGAGAATGCTTCTATCTGGTTTTTGTGTGAAGATATTTCCTTTTCCACCACAGGCCTCAAAGCCCTCCAAACGTCCACTTGCAGATTCTCGAAAAAGAGTGTTTCATAGCTGCTCTTTCAAAAGGAAAGTTCAACTCTGGGAGTTGAATACAAACATCACAAAATAGTTTCCGAGAATGCTTCTGTTTAGTTCTTATGTGAAGATGATCCCGTTTCCAGTGAAATCTTCAAAGAGGTCCACATATCCCCTTGCAGATTCCAAAGAAAGAGGGTTTCAAAACTGCTCCATCAAAAGGATTGTTCAACTCTGTGAGTTGAATGCAGTCATCGCAGAAAACTTTCTGAGAATGCTTCTGTCTAGGTTTGATGTGAAGATATAGACGTTTCAAACGAAGGCTACAAAGTGGTCAAAATATACACTTGCAGATTCTACTACAAGGGTGTTGCAAACCTGAACTATCAAAGGAAGGTTCAACTCTGTGAGTTGAATACAAACATCACAAAGAATGTTCTGAGTTTGCTTCCGTTCAGTTATGGGAAGTTGATCCCGTTTCCAACGAAATCCTCAGAGAGGTCCAAATATCCCCTTGCAGATTCTACAAAACGTGTGTTTGGAAACTGCTCCATCATAACGAATGTTCAGCTCTCTGAGTTAAACTCCATCGTCACAAAGAATTTTCTGAGAGTGCTACCGTCTAGTTTTTATATGAAGTTCTTTCCTTTACTACCACAGGCCTCAAAGCGGTCCAAATCTCCACTTGCAGATTCTACAAAAAGAGTGTTTGCAAACTGCTCTATCAAAAGGAATGTTCAACTCTGGGAGTTGAATGCAATCATCACAGAGCAGTTTCTGAGAATGCTTCTATGTCGTTTTTAGGAGAAGATATTTCCTTTTCCAACACAGTCCTCCAAGCCCGCTAAATATCCACTTGCACATTGTAGAAAAAGTGTGTCGAAGCTGCGCTATCAAAGGGAAAGTTCAACTCTGTGAGGTGAATGCAAACATCCCAAAGAAGTTTCTGAGAATGCTTCCGTTTAGCTTTTAGGTGAAAATTATCCCGTTTCCAACGAAATCTTCAAAGAGGTCCAAATATCCCCTTGCGGATCCCACAGAAAGAGTGTTTCGAAACTGCTGTTTCAAAAGGAATCTTCAACTCTGTGAGTTGAATGCAATCATCACAAAGAAGTTTCTGACAATGCTTCTCTCTCGTCTTTCTGTGAAGATAAAGGAAAAGGCTTTCAGGCCTTTTCCACCACAGGCCTGAAAGCGCTCCAAATGTCCACTTGCAGATTCTGCCAAAAGAATATTTCAAAACTGCTCTATGAAAAGCAATGTTAAACTCTGTGGCTCGAACACAAACATCACAAAGCAGTTTCTGAGAATGCTTCAGTTTAGTTTTTCTGTGGAAATATTCCCGTTTCGAAAGAAATCTTCAAAGAGGTCCACGCATCCACTTACAGATTCTACAAAAAGACAGTTTCAAAACTGCTCAATCAAAAGGAGGGTTCAACCGTGTGACTTGAATGCAATCATCACTCAGAAGTTTCTGAGAATGCTTCTCTTTAGTTTTTACGTGAACATATACCCGTTTCGAACGAAGGCCACACAGTGGTCCAAATATCCACTTGCAGATTCTACAGAAAGAGTGTTTCGAACCTGAACTCTCAAAGGCAGGTTCATCTCTGCGAGTTCAATGCATTCAACATGAAGAACTTTCTCAGCGTGTTTGTGTTTAGTTATGGGAAATTATTGCCGTTTCCAACGAAATCCTCAGAGAGGTCCAAATATCCACCTGCAGATTCTACCAAAAGTGTATTTGGAAACTGCTCCATCAAAAGGCATGTTCAGCTCTGTGAGTGAAACTCCATCATCACAAAGAATATTCTGAGAATGCTTCCGTTTGCCTTTTATATGAAGTTCCTTCCTATACGACCGTAGGCCTCAAAGCAGTCCAAATCTCCATTTGCAGATTCTACAAAAAGAGTGATTCCAATCTGCTCTATCAATAGGATTGTTCAACTCCATGAGTTGAATGCCATCCTCACAAAGTCGTTTCTGAGAATGCTTTCTATCTAGTTTTTATGTGAAGATATTTCCTTTTCCACCACAGGCCTCAAAGCCCTCCAATCGTCCACTTGCAGATTCTCGAAAAAGAGTGTTTCATAGCTGCTCTTTCAAAAGGAAAGTTCAACTCTGGGAGCTGAATACAAACATCACAAAGTAGTTTCCGAGAATGCTTCTGTTTAGTTCTTATGTGAAGATGATCCCGTTTCCAGTGAAATCTTCAAAGAGGTCCACATATCCCCTTGCAGATTCCAAAGAAAGAGGGTTTCAAAACTGCTCCATCAAAAGGATTGTTCAACTCTGTGAGTTGAATGCAGTCATCGCAGAAAACTTTCTGAGAATGCTTCTTTCTAGGTTTGATGTGAAGATATAGACGTTTCAAACGAAGGCTACAAAGTGGTCAAAATATACACTTGCAGATTCTACTACAAGGGTGTTGCAAACCTGAACTATCAAAGGAAGGTTCAACTCTGTGAGTTGAATACAAACATCACAAAGAATGTTCTGAGTTTGCTTCCGTTCAGTTATGGGAAGTTGATCCCGTTTCCAACGAAATCCTCAGAGAGGTCGAAATATCCCCTCGCAGATTCTACAAAACGTGTGTTTGGAAACTGCTCCATCATAACGAATGTTCAGCTCCCTGAGTTAAACTCCATCGTCACAAAGAATTTTCTGAGAGTGCTACCGTCTGGTTTTTATATGAAGTTCTTTCCTTCACTACCACAGGCCTCAAAGCGGTCCAAATCTCCACTTGCAGATTCTACAAAAAGAGTGTTTGCAAACTGCTCTATCAAAAGGAATGTTCAACTCTGGGAGTTGAATGCAATCATCACAGAGCAGTTTCTGAGAATGCTTCTATGTCGTTTTTAGGAGAAGATATTTCCTTTTCCAACACAGTCCTCCAAGCCCGCTAAATAGTCACTTGCACATTGTAGAAAAAGTGTGTCAAAGCTGCGCTATCAAAGGGAAAGTTCAACTCTGTGAGGTGAATGCAAACATCCCAAAGAAGTTTCTGAGAATGCTTCCGTTTAGCTTTTAGGTGAAGATTATCCCGTTTCCAACGAAACCTTCAAAGAGGTCCAAATATCCCCTTGCGGATCCCACAGAAAGAGTGTTTCGAAACTGCTGTTTCAAAAGGAATCTTCAACTCTGTGAGTTGAATGCAATCATCACAAAGAAGTTTCTGACAATGCTTCTCTCTCGTCTTTCTGTGAAGATAAAGGAAAAGGCTTTCAGGCCCTTTTCCACCACAGGCCTGAAAGCGCTCCAAATGTCCACTTGCAGATTCTGCGAAAAGAATATTTCAAAACTGCTCTATGAAAAGCAATGTTAAACTCTGTGGCTCGAACACAAACATCACAAAGCGGTTTCTGAGAATGCTTCAGTTTAGTTTTTCTGTGGAAATATTCCCGTTTCCAAAGAAATCTTCAAAGAGGTCCACGTATCCACTTACAGATTCTACAAAAAGACAGTTTCAAAACTGCTCCATCAAAAGGAGGGTTCAACTGTGTGACTTGAATGCAATCATCACTCAGAAGTTTCTGAGAATGCTTCTCTTTAGTTTTTACGTGAACATATACCCGTTTCGAACGAAGGCCACCCAGTGGTCCAAATATCCACTTGCAGATTCTACAGAAAGAGTGTTTCGAACATGAACTCTCAAAGGCAGGTTCATCTCTGCGAGTTAAATGCATTCATCATGAAGAACTTTCTCAGAGTGTTTGTGTTTAGTTATGGGAAATTATTCCCGTTTCCAACGAAATCCTCAGAGAGCTCCAAATATCCACCTGCAGATTCTACCAAAAGTGTATTTGGAAACTGCTCCATCAAAAGGCATGTTCCGCTCTGTGAGTGAAACTCCATCATCACAAAGAATATTCTGAGAATGCTTCCGTTTGCCTTTTATATGAAGTTCCTTCCTATACGACCTTAGGCCTCAAAGCAGTCCAAATCTCCATTTGCAGATTCTACAAAAAGAGTGATTCCAATCTGCTCTATCAATAGGATTGTTCAACTCCATGAGTTGAATGCCATCCTCACAAAGTAGTTTCTGAGAATGCTTCTATCTAGTTTTTATGTGAAGATATTTCCTTTTCCACCACAGGCCTCAAAGCCCTCCAAACGTCCACTTGCAGATTCTCGAAAAAGAGTGTTTCATAGCTGCTCTTTCAAAAGGAAAGTTCAACTCTGGGAGTTGAATACAAACATCACAAAGTAGTTTCCGAGAATGCTTCTGTTTAGTTTTTATGTGAAGATGATCCCGTTTCCAGTGAAATCTTCAAAGAGGTCCACATATCCCCTTGCAGATTCCAAAGAAAGAGGGTTTCAAAACTGCTCCATCAGAAGGATTGTTCAACTCTGTGAGTTGAATGCAGTCATCGCAGAAAACTTTCTGAGAATGCTTCTGTCTAGGTTTGATGTGAAGATATAGACGTTTCAAACGAAGGCTACAAAGTGGTCAAAATATACACTTGCAGATTCTACTACAAGGGTGTTGCAAACCTGAACTATCAAAGGAAGGTTCAACTCTGTGAGTTGAATACAAACATCACAAAGAATGTTCTGAGTTTGCTTCCGTTCAGTTATGGGAAGTTGATCCCGTTTCC
The DNA here is from genome assembly GCF_000001405.40 of Homo sapiens. NCBI lineage: Eukaryota > Metazoa > Chordata > Mammalia > Primates > Hominidae > Homo > Homo sapiens. The sequence goes on along the minus strand of NC_000023.11, from coordinate 60,065,034 downwards.
AACGAAATCCTCAGAGAGGTCCAAATATCCCCTTGCAGATTCTACAAAACGTGTGTTTGGAAACTGCTCCAACATAACGAATGTTCAGCTCCCCGAGTTAAACTCCATCGTCACAAAGAATTTTCTGAGAGTGCTACCGTCTGGTTTTTATATGAAGTTCTTTCCTTCACTACCACAGGCCTCAAAGCGGTCCAAATCTCCACTTGCAGATTCTACAAAAAGAGTGTTTGCAAACTGCTCTATCAAAAGGAATGTTCAACTCTGGGAGTTGAATGCAATCATCACAGAGCAGTTTCTGAGAATGCTTCTATGTCGTTTTTAGGAGAAGATATTTCCTTTTCCAACACAGTCCTCCAAGCCCGCTAAATAGCCACTTGCACATTGTAGAAAACGTGTGTCAAAGCTGCGCTATCAAAGGGAAAGTTCAACTCTGTGAGGTGAATGCAAACATCCCAAAGAAGTTTCTGAGAATGCTTCCGTTTAGCTTTTAGGTGAAGATTATCCCGTTTCCAACGAAACCTTCAAAGAGGTCCAAATATCCCCTTGCGGATCCCACAGAAAGAGAGTTTCGAAACTGCTGTTTCAAAAGGAATCTTCAACTCTGTGAGTTGAATGCAATCATCACAAAGAAGTTTCTGACAATGCTTCTCTCTCGTCTTTCTGTGAAGATAAAGGAAAAGGCTTTCAGGCCTTTTCCACCACAGGCCTGAAAGCGCTCCAAATGTCCACTTGCAGATTCTGCCAAAAGAATATTTCAAAACTGCTCTATGAAAAGCAATGTTAAACTCTGCGGCTCGAACACAAACATCACAAAGCGGTTTCTGAGAATGCTTCAGTTTAGTTTTTCTGTGGAAATATTCCCGTTTCCAAAGAAATCTTCAAAGAGGTCCACGTATCCACTTACAGATTCTACAAAAAGACAGTTTCAAAACTGCTCCATCAAAAGGAGGGTTCAACTGTGTGACTTGAATGCAATCATCACTCACAAGTTTCTGAGAATGCTTCTCTTTAGTTTTTACGTGAACATATACCCGTTTCGAACGAAGGCCACCCAGTGGTCCAAATATCCACTTGCAGATTCTACAGAAAGAGTGTTTCGAACCTGAACTCTCAAAGGCAGGTTCATCTCTGCGAGTTAAATGCATTCATCATGAAGAACTTTCTCAGAGTGTTTGTGTTTAGTTATGGGAAATTATTCCCGTTTCCAACGAAATCCTCAGAGAGCTCCAAATATCCACCTGCAGATTCTACCAAAAGTGTATTTGGAAACTGCTCCATCAAAAGGCATGTTCAGCTCTGTGAGTGAAACTCCATCATCACAAAGAATATTCTGAGAATGCTTCCGTTTGCCTTTTATATGAAGTTCCTTCCTATACTACCGTAGGCCTCAAAGCAGTCCAAATCTCCATTTGCAGATTCTACAAAAAGAGTGATTCCAATCTGCTCTATCAATAGGACTGTTCAACTCCATGAGTTGAATGCCATCCTCACAAAGTCGTTTCTGAGAATGCTTCTATCTAGTTTTTATGTGAAGATATTTCCTTTTCCACCACAGGCCTCAAAGCCCTCCAAACGTCCACTTGCAGATTCTCGAAAAAGAGTGTTTCATAGCTGCTCTTTCAAAAGGAAAGTTCAACTCTGGGAGTTGAATACAAACATCACAAAGTAGTTTCCGAGAATGCTTCTGTTTAGTTCTTATGTGAAGATGATCCCGTTTCCAGTGAAATCTTCAAAGAGGTCCACATATCCCCTTGCAGATTCCAAAGAAAGAGGGTTTCAAAACTGCTCCATCAAAAGGATTGTTCAACTCTGTGAGTTGAATGCAGTCATCGCAGAAAACTTTCTGAGAATGCTTCTGTCTAGGTTTGATGTGAAGATATAGACGTTTCAAACGAAGGCTACAAAGTGGTCAAAATATACACTTGCAGATTCTACTACAAGGGTGATGCAAACCTCAACTATCAAAGGAAGGTTCAACTCTGTGAGATGAATGCAACCATCACAAAAAATGTTCTGAGTTTGCTTCCGTTTAGTTATGGGAAATTGATACCGTTTCCAACGAAATCCTCAGAGAGGTCCAAATATCCCCTTGCAGATTCTACAAAACGTGTGTTTGGAAACTGCTCCATCATAACGAATGTTCAGCTCTCTGAGTTAAACTCCATCGTCACAAAGAATTTTCTGAGAGTGCTACCGTCTAGTTTTTATATGAAGTTCTTTCCTTTACTACCACAGGCCTCAAAGCGGTCCAAATCTCCACTTGCAGATTCTACAAAAAGAGTGTTTGCAAACTGCTCTATCAAAAGGAATGTTCAACTCTGGGAGTTGAATGCAATCATCACAGAGCAGTTCCTGAGAATGCTTCTATGTCGTTTTTAGGAGAAGATATTTCCTTTTCCACCACAGTCCTCCAAGCCCGCTAAATATCCACTTGCACATTGTAGAAAAAGTGTGTCGAAGCTGCGCTATCAAAGGGAAAGTTCAACTCTGTGAGGTGAATGCAAACATCCCAAAGAAGTTTCTGAGAATGCTTCCGTTTAACTTTTAGGTGAAGATTATCCCGTTTCCAACGAAATCTTCAAAGAGGTCCAAATATCCCCTTGCGGATCCCACAGAAAGAGTGTTTCGAAACTGCTGTTTCAAAAGGAATCTACAACTCTGTGAGTTGAATGCAATCATCACAAAGAAGTTTCTGACAATGCTTCTCTCTCGTCTTTCTGTGAAGATAAAGGAAAAGGCTTTCAGGCCTTTTCCACCACAGGCCTGAAAGCGCTCCAAATGTCCACTTGCAGATTCTGCCAAAAGAATATTTCAAAACTGCTCTATGAAAAGCAATGTTAAACTCTGCGGCTCGAACACCAACATCACAAAGCAGTTTCTGAGAATGCTTCAGTTTAGTTTTTCTGTGGAAATATTCCCGTTTCCAAAGAAATCTTCCAAGAGGTCCACGAATCCACTTACAGATTCTACAAAAAGACAGTTTCAAAACTGCTCAATCAAAAGGCGGGTTCAACTGTGTGACTTGAATGCAATCATCACTCAGAAGTTTCTGAGAATGCTTCTCTTTAGTTTTTACGTGAACATATACCCGTTTCGAACGAAGGCCACCCAGTGGTCCAAATATCCACTTGCAGATTCTACAGAAAGAGTGTTTCGAACCTGAACTCTCAAAGGCAGGTTCATCTCTGCGAGTTAAATGCATTCATCATGAAGAACTTTCTCAGAGTGTTTGTGTTTAGTTATGGGAAATTATTCCCGTTTCCAACGAAATCCTCAGAGAGGTCCAAATATCCACCTGCAGATTCTACCAAAAGTGTATTTGGAAACTGCTCCATCAAAAGGCATGTTCAGCTCTGTGAGTGAAACTCCATCATCACAAAGAATATTCTGAGAATGCTTCCGTTTGCCTTTTATCTGAAGTTCCTTCCTATACGACCGTAGGCCTCAAAGCAGTCCAAATCTCCATTTGCAGATTCTACAAAAAGAGTGATTCCAATCTGCTCTATCAATAGGATTGTTCAACTCCATGAGTTGAATGCCATCCTCACAAAGTAGTTTCTGAGAATGCTTCTATCTAGTTTTTATGTGAAGGTATTTCCTTTTCCACCACAGGCCTCCAAGCCCTCCAAACGTCCACTTGCAGATTCTCGAGAAAGAGTGTTTCATAGCTGCTCTTTCAAAAGGAAAGTTCAACTCTGGGAGTTGAATACAAACATCACAAAGTAGTTTCCGAGAATGCTTCTGTTTAGTTTTTATGTGAAGATGATCCCGTTTCCAGTGAAATCTTCAAAGAGGTCCACATATCCCCTTGCAGATTCCAAAGAAAGAGGGTTTCAAAACTGCTCCATCAGAAGGATTGTTCAACTCTGTGAGTTGAATGCAGTCATCGCAGAAAACTTTCTGAGAATGCTTCTGTCTAGGTTTGATGTGAAGATATAGACGTTTCAAACGAAGGCTACAAAGTGGTCAAAATATACACTTGCAGATTCTACTACAAGGGTGTTGCAAACCTGAACTATCAAAGGAAGGTTCAACTCTGTGAATTGAATACAAACATCACAAAGAATGTTCTGAGTTTGCTTCCGTTCAGTTATGGGAAGTTGATCCCGTTTCCAACGAAATCCTCAGAGAGGTCCAAATATCCCCTCGCAGATTCTACAAAACGTGTGTTTGGAAACTGCTCCATCATAACGAATGTTCAGCTCCCTGAGTTAAACTCCATCGTCACAAAGAATTTTCTGAGAGTGCTACCGTCTGGTTTTTATATGAAGTTCTTTCCTTCACTACCACAGGCCTCAAAGCGGTCCAAATCTCCACTTGCAGATTCTACAAAAAGAGTGTTTGCAAACTGCTCTATCAAAAGGAATGTTCAACTCTGGGAGTTGAATGCAATCATCACAGAGCAGTTTCTGAGAATGCTTCTATGTCGTTTTTAGGAGAAGATATTTCCTTTTCCAACACAGTCCTCCAAGCCCGCTAAATAGCCACTTGCACATTGTAGAAAAAGTGTGTCAAAGCTGCGCTATCAAAGGGAAAGTTCAACTCTGTGAGGTGAATGCAAACATCCCAAAGAAGTTTCTGAGAATGCTTCCGTTTAGCTTTTAGGTGAAGATTATCCCGTTTCCAACGAAACCTTCAAAGAGGTCCAAATATCCCCTTGCGGATCCCACAGAAAGAGTGTTTCGAAACTGCTGTTTCAAAAGGAATCTTCAACTCTGTGAGTTGAATGCAATCATCACAAAGAAGTTTCTGACAATGCTTCTCTCTCGTCTTTCTGTGAAGATAAAGGAAAAGGCTTTCAGGCCTTTTCCACCACAGGCCTGAAAGCGCTCCAAATGTCCACTTGCAGATTCTGCGAAAAGAATATTTCAAAACTGCTCTATGAAAAGCAATGTTAAACTCTGTGGCTTGAACACAAACATCACAAAGCGGTTTCTGAGAATGCTTCAGTTTAGTTTTTCTGTGGAAATATTCCCGTTTCCAAAGAAATCTTCAAAGAGGTCCACGTATCCACTTACAGATTCTACAAAAAGACAGTTTCAAAACTGCTCCATCAAAAGGAGGGTTCAACTGTGTGACTTGAATGCAATCATCACTCAGAAGTTTCTGAGAATGCTTCTCTTTAGTTTTTACGTGAACATATAACCTTTTCGAACCAAGGCCAGCCAGTGGTCCAAATATCCACTTGCAGATTCTACAGAAAGAATGTTTCGAACCTGAACTCTCAAAGGCAGGTTCATCTCTGCGAGTTAAATGCATTCATCATGAAGAACTTTCTCAGAGTGTTTGTGTTTAGTTATGGGAAATTATTCCCGTTTCCAACGAAATCCTCAGAGAGCTCCAAATATCCACCTGCAGATTCTACCAAAAGTGTATTTGGAAACTGCTCCATCAAAAGGCATGTTCAGCTCTGTGAGTGAAACTCCATCATCACAAAGAATATTCTGAGAATGCTTCCGTTTGCCTTTTATATGAAGTTCCTTCCTATACTACCATAGGCCTCAAAGCAGTCCAAATCTCCATTTGCAGATTCTACAAAAAGAGTGATTCCAATCTGCTCTATCAATAGGATTGTTCAACTCCATGAGTTGAATGCCATCCTCACAAAGTAGTTTCTGAGAATGCTTCTATCTAGTTTTTATGTGAAGATATTTCCTTTTCCACCACAGGCCTCAAAGCCCTCCAAACGTCCACTTGCAGATTCTCGAAAAAGAGTGTTTCATAGCTGCTCTTTCAAAAGGAAAGTTCAACTCTGGGAGTTGAATACAAACATCCCAAAGTAGTTTCCGAGAATGCTTCTGTTTAGTTTTTATGTGAAGATGATCCCGTTTCCAGTGAAATCTTCATAGAGGTCCACATATCCCCTTGCAGATTCCAAAGAAAGAGGGTTTCAAAACTGCTCCATCAAAAGGATTGTTCAACTCTGTGAGTTGAATGCAGTCATCGCAGAAAACTTTCTGAGAATGCTTCTGTCTAGGTTTGATGTGAAGATATAGACGTTTCAAACGAAGGCTACAAAGTGGTCAAAATATACACTTGCAGATTCTACTACAAGGGTTTTGCAAACCTGAACTATCAAAGGAAGGTTCAACTCTGTGAGTTGAATACAAACATAACAAAGAATGTTCTGAGTTTGCTTCCGTTCAGTTATGGGAAGTTGATCCCGTTTCCAACGAAATCCTCAGAGAGGTCCAAATATCCCCTCGCAGATTCTACAAAACGTGTGTTTGGAAACTGCTCCATCATAACGAATGTTCAGCTCCCTGAGTTAAACTCCATCGTCACAAAGAATTTTCTGAGAGTGCTACCGTCTGGTTTTTATATGAAGTTCTTTCCTTCACTACCACAGGCCTCAAAGCGGTCCAAATCTCCACTTGCAGATTCTACAAAAAGAGTGTTTGCAAACTGCTCTATCAAAAGGAATGTTCAACTCTGGGAGTTGAATGCAATCATCACAGAGCAGTTTCTGAGAATGCTTCTATGTCGTTTTTAGGAGAAGATATTTCCTTTTCCAACACAGTCCTCCAAGCCCGCTAAATAGCCACTTGCACATTGTAGAAAAAGTGTGTCAAAGCTGCGCTATCAAAGGGAAAGTTCAACTCTGTGAGGTGAATGCAAACATCCCAAAGAAGTTTCTGAGAATGCTTCCGTTTAGCTTTTAGGTGAAGATTATCCCGTTTCCAACGAAACCTTCAAAGAGGTCCAAATATCCCCTTGCGGATCCCACAGAAAGAGTGTTTCGAAACTGCTGTTTCAAAAGGAATCTTCAACTCTGTGAGTTGAATGCAATCATCACAAAGAAGTTTCTGACAATGCTTCTCTCTCGTCTTTCTGTGAAGATAAAGGAAAAGGCTTTCAGGCCTTTGCAACCACAGGCCTGAAAGCGCTCCAAATGTCCACTTGCAGATTCTGCGAAAAGAATATTTCAAAACTGCTCTATGAAAAGCAATGTTAAACTCTGTGGCTCGAACACAAACATCACAAAGCAGTTTCTGAGAATGCTTCAGTTTAGTTTTTCTGTGGAAATATTCCCGTTTCCAAAGAAATCTTCAAAGAGGTCCACGTATCCACTTACAGATTCTACAAAAAGACAGTTTCAAAACTGCTCCATCAAAAGGAGGGTTCAACTGTGTGACTTGAATGCAATCATCACTCAGAAGTTTCTGAGAATGCTTCTCTTTAGTTTTTACGTGAACATATACCCGTTTCGAACGAAGGCCACCCAGTGGTCCAAATATCCACTTGCAGATTATACAGAAAGAGTGTTTCGAACCTGAACTCTCAAAGGCAGGTTCATCTCTGCGAGTTAAATGCATTCATCATGAAGAACTTTCTCAGAGTGTTTGTGTTTAGTTATGGGAAATTATTCCCGTTTCCAACGAAATCCTCAGAGAGCTCCAAATATCCACCTGCAGATTCTACCAAAAGTGTATTTGGAAACTGCTCCATCAAAAGGCATGTTCAGCTCTGTGAGTGAAACTCCATCATCACAAAGAATATTCTGAGAATGCTTCCGTTTGCCTTTTATATGAAGTTCCTTCCTGTACTACCGTAGGCCTCAAAGCAGTCCAAATCTCCATTTGCAGATTCTATAAAAAGAGTGATTCCAATCTGCTCTATCAATAGGATTGTTCAACTCCATGAGTTGAATGCCATCCTCACAAAGTAGTTTCTGAGAATGCTTCTATCTGGTTTTTGTGTGAAGATATTTCCTTTTCCACCACAGGCCTCAAAGCCCTCCAAACGTCCACTTGCAGATTCTCGAAAAAGAGTGTTTCATAGCTGCTCTTTCAAAAGGAAAGTTCAACTCTGGGAGTTGAATACAAACATCACAAAATAGTTTCCGAGAATGCTTCTGTTTAGTTTTTATGTGAAGATGATCCCGTTTCCAGTGAAATCTTCAAAGAGGTCCACATATCCCCTTGCAGATTCCAAAGAAAGAGGGTTTCAAAACTGCTCCATCAGAGGATTGTTCAACTCTGTGAGTTGAATGCAGTCATCGCAGAAAACTTTCTGAGAATGCTTCTGTCTAGGTTTGATGTGAAGATATAGACGTTTCAAACGAAGGCTACAAAGTGGTCAAAATATACACTTGCAGATTCTACTACAAGGGTGTTGCAAACCTGAACTATCAAAGGAAGGTTCAACTGTGTGAGTTGAATACAAACATCACAAAGAATGTTCTGAGTTTGCTTCCGTTCAGTTATGGGAAGTTGATCCCGTTTCCAACGAAATCCTCAGAGAGGTCCAAATATCCCCTCGCAGATTCTACAAAACGTGTGTTTGGAAACTGCTCCATCATAACGAATGTTCAGCTCCCTGAGTTAAACTCCATCGTCACAAAGAATTTTCTGAGAGTGCTACCGTCTGGTTTTTATATGAAGTTCTTTCCTTCACTACCACAGGCCTCAAAGCGGTCCAAATCTCCACTTGCAGATTCTACAAAAAGAGTGTTTGCAAACTGCTCTATCAAAAGGAATGTTCAACTCTGGGAGTTGAATGCAATCATCACAGAGCAGTTTCTGAGAATGCTTCTATGTCGTTTTTAGGAGAAGATATTTCCTTTTCCAACACAGTCCTCCAAGCCCGCTAAATATCCACTTGCACATTGTAGAAAAAGTGTGTCGAAGCTGCGCTATCAAAGGGAAAGTTCAACTCTGTGAGGTGAATGCAAACATCCCAAAGAAGTTTCTGAGAATGCTTCCGTTTAGCTTTTAGGTGAAGATTATCCCGTTTCCAACGAAATCTTCAAAGAGGTCCAAATATCCCCCTGCGGATCCCACAGAAAGAGTGTTTCGAAACTGCTGTTTCAAAAGGAATCTTCAACTCTGTGAGTTGAATGCAATCATCACAAAGAAGTTTCTGACAATGCTTCTCTCTCGTCTTTCTGTGAAGATAAAGGAAAAGGCTTTCAGGCCTTTTCCACCCACAGGCCTGAAAGCGCTCCAAATGTCCACTTGCAGATTCTGCCAAAAGAATATTTCAAAACTGCTCTATGAAAAGCAATGTTAAACTCTGCGGCTCGAACACAAACATCACAAAGCAGTTTCTGAGAATGCTTCAGTTTAGTTTTTCTGTGGAAATATTCCCGTTTCCAAAGAAATCTTCAAAGAGGTCCACGCATCCACTTACAGATTCTACAAAAAGACAGTTTCAAAACTGCTCAATCAAAAGGAGGGTTCAACTGTGTGACTTGAATGCATTCATCACTCAGAAGTTTCTGAGAACGCTTCTCTTTAGTTTTTACGTGAACATATACCCGTTTCGAATGAAGGCCAGCCAGTGGTCCAAATATCCACTTGCAGATTCTACAGAAAGAGTGTTTTGAACCTGAACTCTCAAAGGCAGGTTCATCTCTGCGAGTTAAATGCATTCATCATGAAGAACTTTCTCAGCGTGTTTGTGTTTAGTTATGGGAAATTATTCCCGTTTCCAACGAAATCCTCAGAGAGCTCCAAATATCCACCTGCAGATTGTACCAAAAGTGTATTTGGAAACTGCTCCATGAAAAGGCATGTTCAGCTCTGTGAGTGAAACTCCGTCATCACAAAGAATATTCTGAGAATGCTTCCGTTTGCCTTTTATATGAAGTTCCTTCCTATACTACCGTAGGCCTCAAAGCAGTCCAAATCTCCATTTGCAGATTCTACAAAAAGAGTGATTCCAATCTGCTCTATCAATAGGATTGTTCAACTCCATGAGTTGAATGCCATCCTCACAAAGTAGTTTCTGAGAATGCTTCTATGTAGTTTTTAAGTGAAGATATTTCCTTTTCCACCACAGGCCTCAAAGCCCTCCAAACGTCCACTTGCAGATTCCCGAAAAAGAGTGTTTCATAGCTGCTCTTTCAAAAGGAAAGTTCAACTCTGGGAGTTGAATACAAACATCACAAAGTAGTTTCCGAGAATGCTTCTGTTTAGTTCTTATGTGAAGATGATCCCGTTTCCAGTGAAATCTTCAAAGAGGTCCACATATCCCCTTGCAGATTCCAAAGAAAGAGGGTTTCAAAACTGCTCCATCAAAAGGATTGTTCAACTCTGTGAGTTGAATGCAGTCATCGCAGAAAACTTTCTGAGAATGCTTCTGTCTAGGTTTGATGTGAAGATATAGACGTTTCAAACGAAGGCTACAAAGTGGTCAAAATATACACTTGCAGATTCTACTACAAGGGTGTTGCAAACCTCAACTATCAAAGGAAGGTTCAACTCTGTGAGATGAATGCAAACATCACAAAGAATGTTCTGAGTTTGCTTCCGTTCAGTTATGGGAAGTTGATCCCGTTTCCAACGAAATCCTCAGAGAGGTCCAAATATCCCCTTGCAGATTCTACAAAACGTGTGTTTGGAAACTGCTCCATCATAACGAATGTTCAGCTCTCTGAGTTAAACTCCATCGTCACAAAGAATTTTCTGAGAGTGCTACCGTCTGGTTTTTATATGAAGTTCTTTCCTTTACTACCACAGGCCTCAAAGCGGTCCAAATCTCCACTGGCAGATTCTACAAAAAGAGTGTTTGCAAACTGCTCTATCAAAAGGAATGTTCAACTCTGGGAGTTGAATGCAATCATCACAGAGCAGTTTCTGAGAATGCTTCTATGTCGTTTTTAGGAGAAGATATTTCCTTTTCCAACACAGTCCTCCAAGCCCGCTAAATATCCACTTGCACATTGTAGAAAAAGTGTGTCGAAGCTGCGCTATCAAAGGGAAAGTTCAACTCTGTGAGGTGAATGCAAACATCCCAAAGAAGTTTCTGAGAATGCTTCCGTTTAGCTTTTAGGTGAAGATTATCCCGTTTCCAACGAAATCTTCAAAGAGGTCCAAATATCCCCTTGCGGATCCCACAGAAAGAGTGTTTCGAAACTGCTGTTTCAAAAGGAATCTTCAACTCTGTGAGTTGAATGCAATCATCACAAAGAAGTTTCTGACAATGCTTCTCTCTCGTCTTTCTGTGAAGATAAAGGAAAAGGCTTTCAGGCCTTTTCCACCACAGGCCTGAAAGCGCTCCAAATGTCCACTTGCAGATTCTGCCAAAAGAATATTTCAAAACTGCTCTATGAAAAGCAATGTTAAACTCTGCGGCTCGAACACAAACATGACAAAGCAGTTTCTGAGAATGCTTCAGTTTAGTTTTTCTGTGGAAATATTCCCGTTTCCAAAGAAATCTTCAAAGAGGTCCACGCATCCACTTACAGATTCTACAAAAAGACAGTTTCAAAACTGCTCAATCAAAAGGAGGGTTCAACTGTGTGACTTGAATGCAATCATCACTCAGAAGTTTCTGAGAACGCTTCTCTTTAGTTTTTACGTGAACATATACCCGTTTCGAACGAAGGCCAGCCAGTGGTCCAAATATCCACTTGCAGATTCTACAGAAAGAGTGTTTCGAACCTGAACTCTCAAAGGCAGGTTCATCTCTGCGAGTTAAATGCATTCATCATGAAGAACTTTCTCAGAGTGTTTGTGTTTAGTTATGGGAAATTATTCCCGTTTCCAACGAAATCCTCAGAGAGGTCCAAATATCCACCTGCAGATTCTACCAAAAGTGTATTTGGAAACTGCTCCATCAAAAGGCATGTTCAGCTCTGTGAGTGAAACTCCATCATCACAAAGAATATTCTGAGAATGCTTCCGTTTGCCTTTTATATGAAGTTCCTTCCTATACGACCGTAGGCCTCAAAGCAGTCCAAATCTCCATTTGCAGATTCTACAAAAAGAGTGATTCCAATCTGCTCTATCAATAGGATTGTTCAACTCCATGAGTTGAATGCCATCCTCACAAAGTCGTTTCTGAGAATGCTTCTATCTAGTTTTTATGTGAAGATATTTCCTTTTCCACCACAGGCCTCAAAGCCCTCCAAACGTCCACTTGCAGATTCTCGAAAAAGAGTGTTTCATAGCTGCTCTTTCAAAAGGAAAGTTCAACTCTGGGAGTTGAATACAAACATCACAAAGTAGTTTCCGAGAATGCTTCTGTTTAGTTTTTATGTGAAGATGATCCCGTTTCCAGTGAAATCTTCAAAGAGGTCCACATATCCCCTTGCAGATTCCAAAGAAAGAGGGTTTCAAAACTGCTCCATCAGAAGGATTGTTCAACTCTGTGAGTTGAATGCAGTCATCGCAGAAAACTTTCTGAGAATGCTTCTGTCTAGGTTTGATGTGAAGATATAGACGTTTCAAACGAAGGCTACAAAGTGGTCAAAATATACACTTGCAGATTCTACTACAAGGGTGTTGCAAACCTGAACTATCAAAGGAAGGTTCAACTCTGTGAGTTGAATACAAACATCACAAAGAATGTTCTGAGTTTGCTTCCGTTCAGTTATGGGAAGTTGATCCCGTTTCCAACGAAATCCTCAGAGAGGTCCAAATATCCCCTTGCAGATTCTACAAAACGTGTGTTTGGAAACTGCTCCATCATAACGAATGTTCAGCTCTCTGAGTTAAACTCCATCGTCACAAAGAATTTTCTGAGGGTGCTACCGTCTGGTTTTTATATGAAGTTCTTTCCTTCACTACCACAGGCCTCAAAGCGGTCCAAATCTCCACTTGCAGATTCTACAAAAAGAGTGTTTGCAAACTGCTCTATCAAAAGGAATGTTCAACTCTGGGAGTTGAATGCAATCATCACAGAGCAGTTTCTGAGAATGCTTCTATGTCGTTTTTAGGAGAAGATATTTCCTTTTCCAACACAGTCCTCCAAGTCCGCTAAATATCCACTTGCACATTGTAGAAAAAGTGTGTCGAAGCTGCGCTATCAAAGGGAAAGTTCAACTCTGTGAGGTGAATGCAAACATCCCAAAGAAGTTTCTGAGAATGCTTCCGTTTAGCTTTTAGGTGAAGATTATCCCGTTTCCAACGAAATCTTCAAAGAGGTCCAAATATCCCCTTGCGGATCCCACAGAAAGAGTGTTTCGAAACTGCTGTTTCAAAAGGAATCTTCAACTCTGTGAGTTGAATGCAATCATCACAAAGAAGTTTCTGACAATGCTTCTCTCTCGTCTTTCTGTGAAGATAAAGGAAAAGGCTTTCAGGCCTTTTCCACCACAGGCCTGAAAGCGCTCCAAATGTCCACTTGCAGATTCTGCCAAAAGAATATTTCAAAACTGCTCTATGAAAAGCAATGTTAAACTCTGCGGCTCGAACACAAACATCACAAAGCAGTTTCTGAGAATGCTTCAGTTTAGTTTTTCTGTGGAAATATTCCCGTTTCCAAAGAAATCTTCAAAGAGGTCCACGCATCCACTTACAGATTCTACAAAAAGACAGTTTCAAAACTGCTCAATCAAAAGGAGGGTTCAACTGTGTGACTTGAATGCAATCATCACTCAGAAGTTTCTGAGAACGCTTCTCTTTAGTTTTTACGTGAACATATACCCGTTTCGAACGAAGGCCAGCCAGTGGTCCAAATATCCACTTGCAGATTCTACAGAAAGAGTGTTTCGAACCTGAACTCTCAAAGGCAGGTTCATCTCTGCGAGTTCAATGCATTCATCATGAAGAACTTTCTCAGCGTGTTTGTGTTTAGTTATGGGAAATTATTCCCGTTTCCAACGAAATCCTCAGAGAGCTCCAAATATCCACCTGCAGATTCTACCAAAAGTGTATTTGGAAACTGCTCCATCAAAAGGCATGTTCAGCTCTGTGAGTGAAACTCCATCATCACAAAGAATATTCTGAGAATGCTTCCGTTTGCCTTTTATATGAAGTTCCTTCCTATACTACCGTAGGCCTCAAAGCAGTCCAAATCTCCATTTGCAGATTCTACAAAAAGAGTGATTCCAATCTGCTCTATCAATAGGACTGTTCAACTCCATGAGTTGAATGCCATCCTCACAAAGTAGTTTCTGAGAATGCTTCTATCTAGTTTTTATGTGAAGATATTTCCTTTTCCACCACAGGCCTCAAAGCCCTCCAAACGTCCACTTGCAGATTCTCGAAAAAGAGTGTTTCATAGCTGCTCTTTCAAAAGGAAAGTTCAACTCTGGGAGTTGAATACAAACATCACAAAGTAGTTTCCGAGAATGCTTCTGTTTAGTTCTTATGTGAAGATGATCCCGTTTCCAGTGAAATCTTCAAAGAGGTCCACATATCCCCTTGCAGATTCCAAAGAAAGAGGGTTTCAAAACTGCTCCATCAAAAGGATTGTTCAACTCTGTGAGTTGAATGCAGTCATCGCAGAAAACTTTCTGAGAATGCTTCTGTCTAGGTTTGATGTGAAGATATAGACGTTTCAAACGAAGGCTACAAAGTGGTCAAAATATACACTTGCAGATTCTACTACAAGGGTGATGCAAACCTCAACTATCAAAGGAAGGTTCAACTCTGTGAGATGAATGCAACCATCACAAAAAATGTTCTGAGTTTGCTTCCGTTTAGTTATGGGAAATTGATACCGTTTCCAACGAAATCCTCAGAGAGGTCCAAATATCCCCTTGCAGATTCTACAAAACGTGTGTTTGGAAACTGCTCCATCATAACGAATGTTCAGCTCTCTGAGTTAAACTCCATCGTCACAAAGAATTTTCTGAGAGTGCTACCATCTAGTTTTTATATGAAGTTCTTTCCTTTACTACCACAGGCCTCAAAGCGGTCCAAATCTCCACTTGCAGATTCTGCAAAAAGAGTATTTGCAAACTGCTCTATCAAAAGGAATGTTCAACTCTGGGAGTTGAATGCAATCATCACAGAGCAGTTTCTGAGAATGCTTGTATGTCGTTTTTAGGAGAAGATATTTCCTTTTCCAACACAGTCCTCCAAGCCCGCTAAATATCCACTTGCACATTGTAGAAAAAGTGTGTCGAAGCTGCGCTATCAAAGGGAAAGTTCAACTCTGTGAGGTGAATGCAAACATCCCAAAGAAGTTTCTGAGAATGCTTCCCGTTTAGCTTTTAGGTGAGGATTATCCCGTTTCCAACGAAACCTTCAAAGAGGTCCAAATATCCCCTTGCGGATCCCACAGAAAGAGTGTTTCGAAACTGCTGTTTCAAAAGGAATCTTCAACTCTGTGAGTTGAATGCAATCATCACAAAGAAGTTTCTGACAATGCTTCTCTCTCGTCTTTCTGTGAAGATAAAGGAAAAGGCTTTCAGGCCTTTGCCACCACAGGCCTGAAAGCGGTCCAAATGTCCACTTGCAGATTCTGCCAAAAGAATATTTCAAAACTGCTCTATGAAAAGCAATGTTAAACTCTGCGGCTCGAACACAAACATCACAAAGCGGTTTCTGAGAATGCTTCAGTTTAGTTTTTCTGTGGAAATATTCCCGTTTCCAAAGAAATCTTCAAAGAGGTCCACGTATCCACTTACAGATTCTACAAAAAGACAGTTTCAAAACTGCTCCATCAAAAGGAGGGTTCAACTGTGTGACTTCAATGCAATCATCACTCAGAAGTTTCTGAGAATGCTTCTCTTTAGTTTTTACGTGAACATATACCCGTTTCGAACGAAGGCCACCCAGTGGTCCAAATATCCACTTGCAGATTATACAGAAAGAGTGTTTCGAACCTGAACTCTCAAAGGCAGGTTCATCTCTGCGAGTTAAATGCATTCATCATGAAGAACTTTCTCAGCGTTTTTGTGTTTAGTTATGGGAAATTATTCCCGTTTCCAACGAAATCCTCAGAGTGGTCCAAATATCCACCTGCAGATTCTACCAAAAGTGTATTTGGAAACTGCTCCATCAAAAGGCATGTTCAGCTCTGTGAGTGAAACTCCATCATCACAAAGAATATTCTGAGAATGCTTCCGTTTGCTTTTTTATGAATTTCCTTCCTATACTACCGTAGGCCTCAAAGCAGTCCAAATCTCCATTTGCAGATTCTACAAAAAGAGTGTTTCCAATCTGCTCTATCAATAGGATTGTTCAACTCCGTGAGTTGAATGCCATCGTCACAAATTAATTTCTGAGAATGCTTCTATCTAGTTTTTATGTGAAGATATTTCCTTTTCCACCACAGGCCTCAAAGCCCTCCAAACGTCCACTTGTAGATTCTCCAAAAAGAGTGTTTCATAGCTGCTCTTTCAAAAGGAATGTTCAACTCTGGCAGTTGAATGCAAACATCACAAAGTAGTTTCCGAGAATGCTTCCTGTTTAGTTTTTATGTGAAGATGATCCCGTTTCCAGTGAAATCTTCAAAGAGGTCCACATATCCCCTTGCAGATTCCAAAGAAAGAGGGTTTCAAAACTGCTCCATCAGAAGGATTGTTCAACTCTGTGAGTTGAATGCAGTCATCGCAGAAAACTTTCTGAGAATGCTTCTGTCTAGGTTTGATGTGAAGATATAGCATGTTTCAAACGAAGGCTACAAAGTGGTCAAAATATACACTTGCAGATTCTACTACAAGGGTGTTGCAAACCTGAACTATCAAAGGAAGGTTCAACTCTGTGAGTTGAATACAAACATCACAAAGAATGTTCTGAGTTTGCTTCCGTTCAGTTATGGGAAGTTGATCCCGTTTCCAACGAAATCCTCAGAGAGGTCCAAATATCCCCTCGCAGATTCTACAAAACGTGTGTTTGGAAACTGCTCCATCATAACGAATGTTCAGCTCCCTGAGTTAAACTCCATCGTCACAAAGAATTTTCTGAGAGTGCTACCGTCTGGTTTTTATATGAAGTTCTTTCCTTCACTACCACAGGCCTCAAAGCGGTCCAAATCTCCACTTGCAGATTCTACAAAAAGAGTGTTTGCAAACTGCTCTATCAAAAGGAATGTTCAACTCTGGGAGTTGAATGCAATCATCACAGAGCAGTTTCTGAGAATGCTTCTATGTCGTTTTTAGGAGAAGATATTTCCTTTTCCAACACAGTCCTCCAAGCCCGCTAAATAGCCACTTGCACATTGTAGAAAAAGTGTGTCAAAGCTGCGCTATCAAAGGGAAAGTTCAACTCTGTGAGGTGAATGCAAACATCCCAAAGAAGTTTCTGAGAATGCTTCCGTTTAGCTTTTAGGTGAAGATTATCCCGTTTCCAACGAAACCTTCAAAGAGGTCCAAATATCCCCTTGCGGATCCCACAGAAAGAGTGTTTCGAAACTGCTGTTTCAAAAGGAATCTTCAACTCTGTGAGTTGAATGCAATCATCACAAAGAAGTTTCTGACAATGCTTCTCTCTCGTCTTTCTGTGAAGATAAAGGAAAAGGCTTTCAGGCCTTTTCCACCACAGGCCTGAAAGCGCTCCAAATGTCCACTTGCAGATTCTGCGAAAAGAATATTTCAAAACTGCTCTATGAAAAGCAATGTTAAACTCTGTGGCTGGAACACAAACATCACAAAGCGGTTTCTGAGAATGCTTCAGTTTAGTTTTTCTGTGGAAATATTCCCGTTTCCAAAGAAATCTTCAAAGAGGTCCACGTATCCACTTACAGATTCTACAAAAAGACAGTTTCAAAACTGCTCCATCAAAAGGAGGGTTCAACTGTGTGACTTGAATGCAATCATCACTCAGAAGTTTCTGAGAATGCTTCTCTTTAGTTTTTATGTGAACATATACCCGTTTCGAACGAAGGCCACCCAGTGGTCCAAATATCCACTTGCAGATTCTACAGAAAGAGTGTTTCGAACCTGAACTCTCAAAGGCAGGTTCATCTCTGCGAGTTAAATGCATTCATCATGAAGAACTTTCTCAGAGTGTTTGTGTTTAGTTATGGGAAATTATTCCCGTTTCCAACGAAATCCTCAGAGAGCTCCAAATATCCACCTGCAGATTCTACCAAAAGTGTATTTGGAAACTGCTCCATCAAAAGGCATGTTCAGCTCTGTGAGTGAAACTCCATCATCACAAAGAATATTCTGAGAATGCTTCCGTTTGCCTTTTATATGAAGTTCCTTCCTGTACTACCGTAGGCCTCAAAGCAGTCCAAATCTCCATTTGCAGATTCTATAAAAAGAGTGATTCCAATCTGCTCTATCAATAGGATTGTTCAACTCCATGAGTTGAATGCCATCCTCACAAAGTAGTTTCTGAGAATGCTTCTATCTGGTTTTTGTGTGAAGATATTTCCTTTTCCACCACAGGCCTCAAAGCCCTCCAAACGTCCACTTGCAGATTCTCGAAAAAGAGTGTTTCATAGCTGCTCTTTCAAAAGGAAAGTTCAACTCTGGGAGTTGAATACAAACATCACAAAGTAGTTTCCGAGAATGCTTCTGTTTAGTTTTTATGTGAAGATGATCCCGTTTCCAGTGAAATCTTCAAAGAGGTCCACATATCCCCTTGCAGATTCCAAAGAAAGAGGGTTTCAAAACTGCTCCATCAGAAGGATTGTTCAACTCTGTGAGTTGAATGCAGTCATCGCAGAAAACTTTCTGAGAATGCTTCTGTCTAGGTTTGATGTGAAGATATAGACGTTTCAAACGAAGGCTACAAAGTGGTCAAAATATACACTTGCAGATTCTACTACAAGGGTGTTGCAAACCTGAACTATCAAAGGAAGGTTCAACTCTGTGAGTTGAATACAAACATCACAAAGAATGTTCTGAGTTTGCTTCCGTTCAGTTATGGGAAGTTGATCCCGTTTCCAACGAAATCCTCAGAGAGGTCCAAATATCCCCTTGCAGATTCTACAAAACGTGTGTTTGGAAACTGCTCCATCATAACGAATGTTCAGCTCCCTGAGTTAAACTCCATCGTCACAAAGAATTTTCTGAGAGTGCTACCGTCTGGTTTTTATATGAAGCTCTTTCCTTCACTACCACAGGCCTCAAAGCGGTCCAAATCTCCACTTGCAGATTCTACAAAAAGAGTGTTTGCAAACTGCTCTATCAAAAGGAATGTTCAACTCTGGGAGTTGAATGCAATCATCACAGAGCAGTTTCTGAGAATGCTTCTATGTCGTTTTTAGGAGAAGATATTTCCTTTTCCAACACAGTCCTCCAAGCCCGCTAAATAGCCACTTGCACATTGTAGAAAAAGTGTGTCAAAGCTGCGCTATCAAAGGGAAAGTTCAACTCTGTGAGGTGAATGCAAACATCCCAAAGAAGTTTCTGAGAATGCTTCCGTTTAGCTTTTAGGTGAAGATTATCCCGTTTCCAACGAAACCTTCAAAGAGGTCCAAATATCCCCTTGCGGATCCCACAGAAAGAGTGTTTCGAAACTGCTGTTTCAAAAGGAATCTTCAACTCTGAGTTGAATGCAATCATCACAAAGAAGTTTCTGACAATGCTTCTCTCTCGTCTTTCTGTGAAGATAAAGGAAAAGGCTTTCAGGCCTTTTCCACCACAGGCCTGAAAGCGCTCCAAATGTCCACTTGCAGATTCTGCGAAAAGAATATTTCAAAACTGCTCTATGAAAAGCAATGTTAAACTCTGTGGCTCGAACACAAACATCACAAAGCGGTTTCTGAGAATGCTTCAGTTTAGTTTTTCTGTGGAAATATTCCCGTTTCCAAAGAAATCTTCAAAGAGGTCCACGTATCCACTTACAGATTCTACAAAAAGACAGTTTCAAAACTGCTCCATCAAAAGGAGGGTTCAACTGTGTGACTTGAATGCAATCATCACTCAGAAGTTTCTGAGAATGCTTCTCTTTAGTTTTTACGTGAACATATACCCGTTTCGAACGAAGGCCAACCAGTGGTCCAAATATCCACTTGCAGATTCTACAGAAAGAGTGTTTCGAACCTGAACTCTCAAAGGCAGGTTCATCTCTGCGAGTTAAATGCATTCATCATGAAGAACTTTCTCAGAGTGTTTGTGTTTAGTTATGGGAAATTATTCCCGTTTCCAACGAAATCCTCAGAGAGCTCCAAATATCCACCTGCAGATTCTACCAAAAGTGTATTTGGAAACTGCTCCATCAAAAGGCATGTTCAGCTCTGTGAGTGAAACTCCATCATCACAAAGAATATTCTGAGAATGCTTCCGTTTGCCTTTTATATGAAGTTCCTTCCTATACTACCTTAGGCCTCAAAGCAGTCCAAATCTCCATTTGCAGATTCTACAAAAAGAGTGATTCCAATCTGCTCTATCAATAGGATTGTTCAACTCCATGAGTTGAATGCCATCCTCACAAAGTCGTTTCTGAGAATGCTTCTATCTAGTTTTTATGTGAAGATATTTCCTTTTCCACCACAGGCCTCAAAGCCCTCCAAACGTCCACTTGCAGATTCTCGAAAAAGAGTGTTTCATAGCTGCTCTTTCAAAAGGAAAGTTCAACTCTGGGAGTTGAATACAAACATCACAAAGTAGTTTCCGAGAATGCTTCTGTTTAGTTTTTATGTGAAGATGATCCCGTTTCCAGTGAAATCTTCAAAGAGGTCCACATATCCCCTTGCAGATTCCAAAGAAAGAGGGTTTCAAAACTGCTCCATCAGAAGGATTGTTCAACTCTGTGAGTTGAATGCAGTCATCGCAGAAAACTTTCTGAGAATGCTTCTGTCTAGGTTTGATGTGAAGATATAGACGTTTCAAACGAAGGCTACAAAGTGGTCAAAATATACACTTGCAGATTCTACTACAAGGGTGTTGCAAACCTGAACTATCAAAGGAAGGTTCAACTCTGTGAGTTGAATACAAACATCACAAAGAATGTTCTGAGTTTGCTTCCGTTCAGTTATGGGAAGTTGATCCCGTTTCCAACGAAATCCTCAGAGAGGTCCAAATATCCCCTTGCAGATACTACAAAACGTGTGTTTGGAAACTGCTCCATCATAACGAATGTTCAGCTCCCTGAGTTAAACTCCATCGTCACAAAGAATTTTCTGAGAGTGCTACCGTCTGGTTTTTATATGAAGCTCTTTCCTTCACTACCCCAGGCCTCAAAGCGGTCCAAATCTCCACTTGCAGATTCTACAAAAAGAGTGTTTGCAAACTGCTCTATCAAAAGGAATGTTCAACTCTGGGAGTTGAATGCAATCATCACAGAGCAGTTTCTGAGAATGCTTCTATGTCGTTTTTAGGAGAAGATATTTCCTTTTCCAACACAGTCCTCCAAGCCCGCTAAATAGTCACTTGCACATTGTAGAAAAAGTGTGTCAAAGCTGCGCTATCAAAGGGAAAGTTCAACTCTGTGAGGTGAATGCAAACATCCCAAAGAAGTTTCTGAGAGTGCTTCCGTTTAGCTTTTAGGTGAAGATTATCCCGTTTCCAACGAAACCTTCAAAGAGGTCCAAATATCCCCTTGCGGATCCCACAGAAAGAGTGTTTCGAAACTGCTGTTTCAAAAGGAATCTTCAACTCTGTGAGTTGAATGCAATCATCACAAAGAAGTTTCTGACAATGCTTCTCTCTCGTCTTTCTGTGAAGATAAAGGAAAAGGCTTTCAGGCCTTTTCCACCACAGGCCTGAAAGCGCTCCAAATGTCCACTTGCAGATTCTGCCAAAAGAATATTTCAAAACTGCTCTATGAAAAGCAATGTTAAACTCTGTGGCTCGAACACAAACATCACAAAGCGGTTTCTGAGAATGCTTCAGTTTAGTTTTTCTGTGGAAATATTCCCGTTTCCAAAGAAATCTTCAAAGAGGTCCACGTATCCACTTACAGATTCTACAAAAAGACAGTTTCAAAACTGCTCCATCAAAAGGAGGGTTCAACTGTGTGACTTGAATGCAATCATCACTCAGAAGTTTCTGAGAATGCTTCTCTTTAGTTTTTACGTGAACATATACCCGTTTCGAACGAAGGCCAGCCAGTGGTCCAAATATCCACTTGCAGATTCTACAGAAAGAGTGTTTCGAACCTGAACTCTCAAAGGCAGGTTCATCTCTGCGAGTTAAATGCATTCATCATGAAGAACTTTCTCAGAGTGTTTGTGTTTAGTTATGGGAAATTATTCCCGTTTCCAACGAAATCCTCAGAGAGCTCCAAATATCCACCTGCAGATTCTACCAAAAGTGTATTTGGAAACTGCTCCATCAAAAGGCATGTTCAGCTCTGTGAGTGAAACTCCATCATCACAAAGAATATTCTGAGAATGCTTCCCGTTTGCCTTTTATATGAAGTTCCTTCCTATACGACCGTAGGCCTCAAAGCAGTCCAAATCTCCATTTGCAGATTCTACAAAAAGAGTGATTCCAATCTGCTCTATCAATAGGATTGTTCAACTCCATGAGTTGAATGCCATCCTCACAAAGTCGTTTCTGAGAATGCTTCTATCTGGTTTTTGTGTGAAGATATTTCCTTTTCCACCACAGGCCTCAAAGCCCTCCAAACGTCCACTTGCAGATTCTCGAAAAAGAGTGTTTCATAGCTGCTCTTTCAAAAGGAAAGTTCAACTCTGGGAGTTGAATACAAACATCACAAAATAGTTTCCGAGAATGCTTCTGTTTAGTTTTTATGTGAAGATGATCCCGTTTCCAGTGAAATCTTCAAAGAGGTCCACATATCCCCTTGCAGATTCCAAAGAAAGAGGGTTTCAAAACTGCTCCATCAGAAGGATTGTTCAACTCTGTGAGTTGAATGCAGTCATCGCAGAAAACTTTCTGAGAATGCTTCTGTCTAGGTTTGATGTGAAGATATAGACGTTTCAAACGAAGGCTACAAAGTGGTCAAAATATACACTTGCAGATTCTACTACAAGGGTGTTGCAAACCTGAACTATCAAAGGAAGGTTCAACTCTGTGAGTTGAATACAAACATCACAAAGAATGTTCTGAGTTTGCTTCCGTTCAGTTATGGGAAGTTGATCCCATTTCCAACGAAATCCTCAGAGAGGTCCAAATATCCCTTTGCAGATTCTACAAAATGTGTGTTTGGAAACTGCTCCATCATAACGAATGTTCAGCTCTCTGAGTTAAACTCTATCGTCACAAAGAATTTTACTGAGAGTGCTACCGTCTGGTTTTTATATGAAGTTCTTTCCTTCACTACCACAGGCCTCAAAGCGGTCCAAATCTCCACTTGCAGATTCTACAAAAAGAGTGTTTGCAAACTGCTCTATCAAAAGGAATGTTCAACTCTGGGAGTTGAATGCAATCATCACAGAGCAGTTTCTGAGAATGCTTCTATGTCGTTTTTAGGAGAAGATATTTCCTTTTCCAACACAGTCCTCCAAGCCCGCTAAATAGCCACTTGCACATTGTAGAAAAAGTGTGTCAAAGCTGCGCTATCAAAGGGAAAGTTCAACTCTGTGAGGTGAATGCAAACATCCCAAAGAAGTTTCTGAGAATGCTTCCGTTTAGCTTTTAGGTGAAGATTATCCCGTTTCCAACGAAACCTTCAAAGAGGTCCAAATATCCCCTTGCGGATCCCACAGAAAGAGTGTTTCGAAACTGCTGTTTCAAAAGGAATGTTCAACTCTGTGAGTTGAATGCAATCATCACAAAGAAGTTTCTGACAATGCTTCTCTCTCGTCTTTCTGTGAAGATAAAGGAAAAGGCTTTCAGGCCTTTTCCACCACAGGCCTGAAAGCGCTCCAAATGTCCACTTGCAGATTCTGCGAAAAGAATATTTCAAAACTGCTCTATGAAAAGCAATGTTAAACTCTGTGGCTCGAACACAAACATCACAAA